>NT_113949.2:0-177381 GCF_000001405.40 Homo sapiens
GATCTATCTGTATCTCCACAGGTGATTGGAAGTAGGGGTGAGGTGGGGGATTTGGGTGAGGGGGCAAGTTTCTTGTGATGAACAGAGCACTTTCCCTATTTCAGGGCCTGTGCTGGTGGGTTCAGGGGGCTTTCATATTTTCCATATGATCTCATGTTCACAGAAAGCCAAATATGGAAGAGGTTTTAGGCTGATTTTCTAATGGATAAGATAAAGGATCAAAGAAGTAATTATAGAGAAATAGAAAAATGATGATTGGAATTCAGGTGCCTGCATCATTTGTGTATATTATTATATTTATGTATTTTTTATTTTTATTTTTTGAGCCAGAGTATCCCTGTGTAGCCCAGGCTGGTGTGCAGTGACGCGATCTCCACTCACTGCAACCTCTGCCTCCAGGGCTGAAGTCATTCTCCTGCTTCCTCCTCCAGAGTAGCTGGGATTACAGTCATGCACCACCATCATGCCTGTTTAATTTTTGTATTTTTAGTAGAGATAGGGTTTCTCCATGTTGGCCAGGCTGGTCTCGAACTCCTGACTTCATGTGATCCACCCGCGTTGGCCTCCTGAAGTGCTGGGTTACAGGCGTGAGCCACCGTTCACAGCCTTGTATATTATGCTATACTAGGTCCCTTCATTTGCACCACCCCTCATCTAGCTCTCCCTCCTCTGCCAGGTATTGATTTAGATGCAGGAGAAATAAATCTCAGAAATAAGTTAGTGAAGCGAGGATTAAACTACCAGGAAAAAATCAAACCCAGCAAGCCTTTCCAGCCAATGATTCTACCTCACAAACATATCTTATATCCATCTACTTCATTCATTTAGTGTCTAAATCAGCACCACATTTCACCAGTGGGGCGGGAATTGCCTTTTCCACGGTCTCCTAGATTCCAGTTACGCACCTGGGCCTCCCTTATTTTCATGTCAGTCATATTAATCATGTAGGGATTCCTGGTTACCCCGAGGTGAGTCCAATGGCTGTGAGTGTCAAACACACACTCCTTGTTGCTCCTTAGTTTCCTGTGTACCCAGTGTGCTCTCCGTCTCTCTACAGTCGTCTTGTCATTCTCCCCACGTCATTCCCAGCATTTGAGGCAGAGCCTCTTCCTTCAACATCAGATTATTTTCACCTTTGTGCCTTCACGGCTGACAGCTGTGTGTGCAAAATCCTTCCGCCCATCTTTCAGGGGTTCAATCCGTGTTTTTCATTAATGTCACAAATATCTGATTAGTGAGAACTTCTCTGTCACCTGAAATCATACACTCAGCATTATCTATTATTGATTTGAAAATTTGGCTTGGCCCCGTGGCTCATGCCTCTTATCCCAGCGTGTTGGGAGGCAGAGGCTATTGGATCACCTGAGGTTGGGAATTTGAGACCAGCCTGGCCAACATGGTGAAACATCCTCTCTACAGAAAATATGCAAAAAGAGTTAGCCGGGCGTGGTGGTTGTGGTCTGTAATCCCAGCTACTGGAGAGGCTGAGGGAGGAGATCCGTTCAGCCCAGGAGGTGGAGGTTGCAGTGAGCCGAGATCATGCCACCGCACTCTAGCCTGGACGACAGAGCAAGGCTCCGTCTCAATAAACAAGTAGGTAAATACATAAATAAATAGATTTCATGCACAGATGCTTCTCAATAGATCATTCATTTATTGGTCCCCTTGTGCCTACATTTTCTGCCCTCCCATTTAACCATCTGCAAGATCAGTGTCCCAAGAACAGAGGCCAAATGCATCTTGTTCACTGTTTGTGGAAGGCAGGAGAATGTTGTCCCACCCCAAAAATGTCCATGTCCTAGCCTCCATAGCTTGTGAATATGTTATTTTACATGAAAGGAGGAATGAAGATTGCAGATGGAATTATGGTTGCTAGTCAGCTGAACTTAAAAGGAGGGTATCCTGGATGATTTCCGGGAGATTATGATGGATTTTCATCTTGGTGAACCCAATAGAATCCCCAAGTTTTCAAAAGAAGGGGAAGAAGGGAGAGCAGCATTCAGAGAAAGAGGTGTGGTAAGGAAGAAGGGTCTGAGTGATGCCATGTGAGATGTGACCAGTCTTTGTGGGCTTTGAGGAAGGAGGAAGGGTACCAGGAGCCAAGGAACATGGGAGCCTCTAGAAGCTGAGAAAAGTGAGAAGCAGATTCTTGCCTGGAACCCTCAGAGGGAAGGCAGCCTTGCTGTCACCTTGATTTTAGCCCAGTGACATGCACGTCATGCTTTGAGCTACAGCACTGTAAGATAATTAAATAACCGTTTTGTTTTCACCCACGAATCTTGTGGAAATTTGTTATGGCAACAATAGGAAAAGCTTCCACACTGCACAGCCTGAGCATGGGGCTGTGGCTGAATGAGTCAGTGAGTCGAAGTGTGCGTGCATGAGCTCTGTTCTCTGTTACGGCAAGGCTCTTGCTCTGCTGAGTCAGCCAGGGTTGCCTGATGACCAACAGTAATTCATTCCTTGGCAAGTGGAACTTCTCTAAAACACCCACCCTCATCAGATGTTCCCTTCCCTTCCCTCTCTCAAGCCCCCGGGAATTTATCCTCCAGTTAGGAATGCAGGCAGAAAAAACACTGCATTTTTCCTGAGAAGGATGTCAGATTGGCAATTATTCTTCTAGCTTGTAGGAGGTCTCACCTGCAGGAAATTAAAGGTAAAGAGACTTCGCTGAGCCCTTTGGTGGCCCTAGATCCCTTTCACTGTTGGAGTGTCTGGAGTTCAGAGATGGTGGAAGACAGGCCCTCATTCACAGAGCTGGGAGGTTTGAGCCAACACTTGCATCCAAGGCTTCCACCTCCCCAGGTTTCCAAAAGCAGAGATAAGAGGGGTCCTTTACTCACCAGATTTGGAGCTTGGTTCTGTGGGTGAAGGCCAACTACTTGAAGGGTTTCCTAGAACACGGGACAGGAGAGATGTGAGGAAATGAGGGTGCTTGTCCTCTACTCAATGGAAATCTTTGAGGTTGGTTCATGGCCAACACTCTGTTATCTAATGTTGGACCCTGGGAGTCTTGGGATCCTTTTCTCCATAATTTTTGTGTGCGATGCCCACTGTCTTGAGACTTGAAGGTATAAAGAGAAAACAGGAGCATCACACTACCTGACTTAGAAATATGTTACAGAGCTGTAGTAAGCAAAACAGCATGACATTGGCATAAAGAAAGGCACATAAAAAATGGAACAGAATGGAGAACACAGATATAATCCATGCATTTACATCCAATGGCTTTCTTTTGTGTGTGTGTGATGGAATCTTGCTCTGTCATGCAGGCTGGAGTGTAGAGGTGCAATCTCAGCTCAATGCAACCTCCACTTCCTGGATTCAAGAAATTCTCTTGCTTCAAACTCCTGAGTAGTGGTATTACAGGCACTGATCACCATGCTCAGCTAATTTTTGTATTTTTAGTAGAGACGAGGTTTCACTCTGTTGGCCAGCCTGGTCTTGAACTCCTGGCTTTAGGTGATCCACCCGCCTCGGCCTCCCAAAGTGCTGGAATTGCAGGTGTGAGCCACCATGCCCAGCCCATTTAATGGACTTTGACAAAGGTGCCGAGAACTTACAATCAAGAAAGGACAGTCTTCAATAAATGGTGTGGGGAAAACTGGATATCTACATGCAGAGGAATAAAACTGCATCTATACCTGTCACCTTACACAAAAATCAAATGAAAATGGATTAAAAACATGAGTCTAAGGCCTGAACCTATGAAACATGTAGAAGAAAATAATGGGGAAGACATTTGTCTGACGAAAGACATTTTGTTTAAAACCTTCAAAACACAAGTAATCAAAGCAAAAAATAGACCATTAGGATTACATCAAACCAAGCAACTTCTGCACCACCAAAGATAAACCAACAAAGTGAAGAGACAACCCACAAAATAGGAGCAAATATTTGCAAACTATTCATCTGAGATGGGATTAATAACTGGAAATATAAGAAGCTCAAACAACTCAATAAAACAATTTAATTAAAAAACGAGCAAAAGACATGAGGAGACATTTCTCCACAAACAAAACATAGAAATGGCGATCACGTATATGAAAAAGTGCTCAGCATCACTCATCATCACAGAAATGTAAATTACAATCGCGATGAGTTTTCATCTCATCCCATTAAAATGCCTTTTAGGCCGGTGGCTCACGCCTGTAATTCCAGCACTTTGGGAGGCGGAGGTGGGCGGATCACCTGAGGTCGGGAGACCAGCCTGACCAACATGGAGAAACTCCCTCTCTACTAAACATACAAAAATTAGCTAGGCGTGGTGGCACATGCCTGTAATCCCAGCTACTTTGGAGGCTGAGGCAGGAGAATCAGTTGAACGCGGGAGGCAGAGGTTGCAGTGAGCCGAGATCACACCCTTGCACTCCAGCCTGGGCGACTATGAGTGAAACTCCATCTCAACATAAATAAATAAATAAATAAATAAAGTAAAATGGCTTTTATCTGCAAGACAGGCAAAACAAATGCTGGCAAGATGGTAGAGAAAGGAGAACCCTGGTACCCTGTTGGTAGGAATGTAAATTAGTACAACTATTATGGAGAAAAGTATGGAAATTCTTTAAAAAACTAAAAGGAGGCTGGGCATAGTGGCTTATGCCTGTAACTTCAGCACTTTGGGAAACCGAGGCAGGCACCTCACTTGAGGTCAGGAGTTTGAGAGCAGCCTGCCCAAAATTGGGATATCCCGTCTGTGCTAAAAAATACAAGAATTAGTCAGGCATGGTGGCGTGCACCTGTAATCACAGCTATTAGGGAGGCTGAGTCAGGAGAATCGTTTGAACCTAGGAAGCAGAGGTTGCAATGAGCCAAGATCGCACCACTTTGACTCCAGCTTGGACTAAGGAGGGAAACTCTTTCTCAAAAAAGAAAAAAAAAAAAGAGAACTTTCATAGTGTCCAGCAATTTCACTACTGGGTTTATATCCAAAGGAAAGGACATCAGTGTATCGAAGTGATATCTGCACTCATATGACTGTTCCAGCACTGTTCACAGTAGCCAAGATGTGGAGTCAACCTACCTGCCTATCAGTGGGTGAATGGATAGAGAACTGTAGTACACACACACGGTGGAGACTACTCATCCATAGAAACAATAACATCCTGTCATTTGCAGCCACATGGATGGAACTGGAGGTCATTACAAAGATTCCCATTTCTCACCACATGCAGGAGATAAAAGGTGGATCTCATGAAGGTAGAGAATAGAATGGTGGATACCAGAGGCCAGGAAGGGAAGGGTGGAGGGTAACAAAAAAAAGAATATAGATGTATTTATTTATTTAGAAACAGAGTCTCTCTCTGTCTCCCAGGCTGCAGTGCAGTGGCATGATCTCGGCTCAGTGCAACCTCTGCCTCCTGGCTTTAAGTGCTTCTCCTGCCTCAGCCTCCCAAGTAGCTAGGACTACAGGTGCATGCCGGCATGCTTGGCTAATTTTTCTTGTCTGTTTAGTAAAGATGAATTTCCCGCATGTTGGCCAGGCTGATCTCGAGTCCCTGATCTTAAATGATCCACCTTTCTTGGCCTCTCAAAGCGCCAAGATTACAACCGTGAACCACCACACCCAGCATATAAAGGTATTTATGACCACTAGATTTTACTTTTAAAAATGGTAAAGTTGGTAAATTATATAGTTACATTTAACCTCAATAAATATTTTTGAAAATGAAAAGAAAAGAGTGTAGGGGTTGCTGGTGATGACATCTCTCTGTGTGGGTGAGAGGCCAGGATGGGCTTCTGGGAAATGGGTAAGGTTGAGGGGCTGAGGGAACCTCTGATCTCCCCAAACTGAGCCCAGTCTCCCCTTCTCTGGGTCTGTCCTGACCGCTTTCTCCATCTGCCTGGGTGCCTGGAGCCCTGACCATGGGCCTCCATGCAGGCCATGCAAGAGGGTTTGGAGGTGCCCTGTCTGCCATCCTGCACCCTGACCCCCCCTTCACACCCAGTCTTCGTGTTCTCTCTGCATCTGTCCATGCTTCTCCCCATCATCGGCAGGAAGCTCCTCAGCTATGGCTCTAGGATCATAAGACATGGGACAGACACGGGTTTTCCTCACCTGTGACAGAAACAAGCAGTGGGTCACTTGAGTTTGACCACACGCAGGGCAGGGCACGGAAAGAGCCGAAGCATCTGTAGGTCCCTCCGTGGGTGGCAGGGCCCAGAGGAAAGTCTGCCTGGAATGTTCTGTTGACCTTGGGCACTGCACGGAGCCTACGTTCATGGGCCTCCCCTTCCCTGGACAGATGGTAGATGTCATAGGAGCTCCAGGAGCTACAGGACAAGGTCACGTTCTCTCCTGCCTGAACCGTGGGGCCCGGCTGGGCTGAGAGAGAAGGTTTCTCATATAGACCTGGAAGGAGAAGAGGCAGTTTCCTCAGGGAGGTTCTTCCTTGTCACAGCTCCCCTCATACCTGAGCTGAGAACTCACTCCCCTGCTCTATGACCTAATGCTCTCTCTCTCTCTCACCCTCCACCCCAACTCTCTTCATGTCTATTTCCTCCTTCCGCCTTCTCTGTCTCTCTAGGTCTCTGACCTCACTTCCCCACCCCTGGGTATGCTTTCCCTTTTTGGATTGTTTTATTCTCTCTGACTCTCCTTGGATTGGTTGACTTGATCTTCCTTTTTCTATAATTCTGAGTCTCTCACTTTCTGTCTTGTTCATAACTTTCTGCATATTTCTATCTATTATCTATCTATCTATTTTGTGTCTATCTACAAATTATCTGTCATCTATATCTATGTATCATTTATCTATCAATTGTCTATCTGTCTATCCATCAATCATCTATGTATTATCTGTATCTATGTATCATCTCTCTCTCTCTCTATTACCTCTCTGTCTGCCTGTCAGTCTCTATGTATCATCTATGTATCTATATATTTATATATGTGTCTTCTATCTATCTATCTTCATCATCATCATCATCATCATCTCTATGTATCATCTATCAATCATCATCTATGTATCTATAACCTATCCATTATCTATCATCTACCTATTTATCATCTATCTATATCTATCTATCCATCTATCATCTGTCTCTCTCCATCTCCTTGTCTTTCTCTGCCTCTCAGTCTCTCTAGTTCTATTTGGAATCTCTGCAATCCATCCCCACATCTTTATCTTTCTCTGTCTTTGTGCCCCTCCCTCAGGGTTCTGATTTTGGGGCTTTTCTCTCCTCCCTTCCAGCATTCTCTCCACTCCTCTGCCCTCTTTTCTTTCTTTTTGTGTGTCTGTGAGTCTCTCAATCCCCTTCCTCTGGCTCATTCTCTGTGTGTTTATGCCTTTGCTTTTTGAAGTCCCTGATTTATCTCTGTGTCTCTCAGTGATCCTATTATATGTAGGATTATTTGGAATATGAGCCTCAGAATCTAGTCTGGGGACACCAAGTACACACAGTATTTAGGGGTTGGTGTTCTGGGGCCATGATATCCTGGGATAATTATGGCTCCACTGCATGGAAGGCAGAGGTGTCAGAATAAACATGGCATCTGTAGATGCCACAAGGCCTGAGGCCACAGGGCCCAACTCAGGTCAGAAATATGGGTGTCCTTGGGTTCTCCTCGTAGAAGCACTTTGTGGAGACAAAACAGAAATGAAACTTCTAACCTGTGCCAGGTCTCTGAGCAAAGTCAGCATGGAAGGACACTTCTCTCTGGCACATGTCTGTCTGTCTGAGTGTCTCCTTTACCTCTTTCTCTCTTTTCTACTTCCCCGTATGGCCCCTGTGTCTGTCCTCTGTTATGACACCTGGTCTGTACTTATGTCTCCTGTTTCCCTGTCTCTGTTGGTACAGACCTCACCGAGTCAGTCTCTCTCCATAAGAATCTCACGCTTATCTTCCTCATGACCACCTGGGGGTTCCAAGTCCTGGATCATTCACTCTGTGTCCCAATGACAATGAGAAGAATGTCTGGACACTCTCACCTGTGATCACGATGTCCAGGGGGTCACTGGGAGCTGACAACTGATAGGGGGAGTGAGGAACAGAACCATAACATCTGTAGGTTCCTGCAAGGACAGGCATCAAGGGACCGATGGAGAAGTTGGCCTTGGAGACCCCATCATGGATCTGTCCAACGAGGCGTGAGGGGTCCTCAGAGATCCCCTCTCTGTGCAGAAAGAAGTGCTCAAACATGACATCTGACCAACATTGCAGGATGACTGTCTCTCCTGATTTCAGCAGGGGCCCTGGGTGGGCCAGGAGGGAAGGTTTTCTGTGGTTTCCTAGAAAGAGAAGTTGTGAGTTTAGAAGGCATCTCTCTTTATCATCCCATCCATGGCACCTGGAATGAGTGAGGGTTCCCCTCCCAGAGGTCTGTCTCTCTCCTCCCTCTCTGTGTCTCCGTGTCTTTTCTGTGCCCATATCCCCTGGTGCAGGTCCCTCCATTTGTCTTCCTCCCTCTTCTCTGTCCCTCTGTCTCCAGTAGCCCCTGACTCCCTTCCCACTGTGAAGAGAGCCTCATCTCTTGGGCTGTTGTATCTCTTTCCCACTAGTCTCTTTCCTGCTGTCTATGTGGGGGTGGAAGAGGACAGGCTGCATGTCCAGGCTCTCAGCAGCCTGAATCAATCTCTTTTGAACAAATTGGAGTCTCTGGCAGAGGTATCAACTCATCAGTAAGGCAGACATCAGTGTCCACACACCCTGTTCCTGATGGGGATTGGGAGCCTCTCCTGCCATGTCTGTGCCTTCTCCATGGCCCCAGCTTCCATAGGGTGGTCCCTGGTGCTGGTTCCAGGAGCATCAACCCCTTCCTATGTGGATGGAGCCTGGTGGTGGCATCAGCATCCCACCCTTGCTGATCCCACGGTAGCCAACCTTCTCCTTGTTTGGTTTCTTTAATTAATTGATTAATTAATTTATTTTTGAGACAGTCACTTTTTCACCCAGGCTGGAGTGCAGTGGTGTTGTCTTGGCTCACTGCAACCTCTGCCTCCCCGGTTCAAGTGATTCTCTTGCCTCAGCCTCCCCAGTCGTTGGATTACTCGTGCCCACCACCACACCTGGCTATCCTTGTTTGGTTTCCTAGCTTGTCCTTGACCTGGGTTCCTGTGTCGGTTTCCTGTTGCTGCTGCAGAAAATTATCACAAACATGGCAGCAGGAGAGAACACACTGACCCCTTCCACTTCTGGGGACAGAAATTGGATCCAGTTCTCCCTGTGCTGAAATCAAGGCATCTGCAGGGCTGCGTTCCCTCTGGAGACTCAGCGAATCAGTTCTCTTGACTTCTCCAGCCCTTAGAGGCCACCTGCATTCTGTGACTAGTGGCCTTCCTCCACCTTCAAAGCCCACAGTGGCTGATAGCGTCTCCCTCCCACTACACTGCTCTAATCCCCACTCCCCTCTTCCTCCACCTCTCACGCGGACCCTTGTGATTACACTGAGCCCAGCAGGACAGTCCAGGCTGTCTCCCCATCTCAAGGTCAACTCATCAACAACCTGAGCTCCACCTTCCCCTTCAGTCCCCTGCCCTATAACATAAATAGTCACAGGCTCCAGGGTTTACAATGTAGCCATCATTGGCGACAGTGATTCTTCCCACCACAGCGCCCATTTCCCCTGTATTCAATCCCCCTTGACCCCAAATACAGTTGGGGCCTGGGTGATGGGACCCTGATGGACACCCCCACCAGAAGCTCTGGGATTCAGGAGGTGGGACAGTGAGAAGCCCAGACAGAAAGCCTCTGACCTGTGACCATGATCACCAGGGGGTTGCTGGGTGTCGACCACCCAGTGAGGGAGTGTGGGCGTGAACCCCGACATCTGTAGGTCCCTGCATGTGCTGGGGTCACAGGGCCCATGATGAAGCTCTCCTGGAATATTCTGCCGTGGAAGATGGGAACGTGGCTTCTGTCTTCTTTGTACAGCATGAAATTGTTAAACCCACGACGATAGTGACACTGAAGAGCCACGTGTCCTCCTCGAGGCACCACAGTGCTGGGCCGGGCAGACAGGAAGGGTTTGTCCTGACCACCTGGGGGAGAAGGAGGCACTGCCTTAGAGAGGAGGATGTGGAGCCACCCCTCCCTCCCTGTGCTCAGAAGATTCTCCCATTTCCACTTTCTAAGGCTCCTACCACACCTGGGTGCCCAGGGCTACAGGAAGGACCCACCCCACATAGACATGGCGTCTCCCTACAACAAGTGTCAGCTGAGAACTTTGAGCAAGTGCTGAATAAGTGACTCTTACTAGATTTTAATACTGCAAAATTACTCACATAAAACAACACAAAGTAGACACGGCATGGAGGGCATGTCCTATGTGAATGGAATATCAGCCAATTCATGAACTGAGCCCCCTCAGAGGATTTGGAATGTCAGGGCCATGGCTGTGGTTTCCCCCCTCTTCTGGTAGAAAGACCGCAGCCACACTGCAGTCCCTACCGTCACGGAAACGCTGGAGGGTGTCAGTTATACCTTTGTCCTCAGAGGACCTGCTGTTCCTAGCACTGCTTCCCTCTCTTTCTCTGCTGCTGACACCACTTCCTCCCTGCACACCCCAGCTTGGAGCACCCCAGTCTCACCCCAGTCTTCACAGAGCTTGACTCAGGAAAGGGAAAGAAAGGCCGGGGAGGGCGAGGTCAGAAATGTGGGCCGAGTATCCAAGGGTCCCCTCTTCCTAGTTTATGAGAGACTCCCCGACAGGACTTCCCTCCTGTTTCAGAAAAATCCTCTTATGTGGGGAGATGACACCCTAAGGTTTGGGGAAGGACTCACCCATGAGTGGCCAGGCCCCCTGCAGCAAGAAGAACCCTGGAAAGAAAGATCATGATAGACGATCCAACTGCAGGCAAACCAGGGCACCCTGCTGCCCCCACTGCACTGTGTGTCTTGGCAGCCAGGCCCTTGCTGGGCTGAAGGTAAACTTAGCCTCCCTGCTACCTGCTGCCAAGAACAGGGCTCTCAGCTGTGGAGAGACCCAGGCTCCAGGCCCAGATCAACACTTCCTGGCCCAGATCTCCACTCCAGGCCCATATCTCCACTCCAGGCCCCTATCTCCACTCCAGGCCCATATCTCCACATCAGACCCATATCTCCACTCCAGGCCCATATCTCCACATCAGACCCATATCTCCACTCCAGGCCCAGATCTCCCCTCTAGGCCCATATCTCCACTCCAGGCCCATATCTCCACTCCAGGCCCATATCTCCACATCAGACCCATATCTCCACTCCAGGCCCATATCTCCACTCCAGGCCCAGATCTCCACCTGCAGGCCCATATCTCCACTCCAGGCCCATATCTCCACTCCAGGCCCGTATCTCCACTCCAGGCCCATATCTCCACACCCAGGCCCATATCTCCCCTCCAGGCCCATATCTCCACTCCAGGCCCATATTTACACCTCCAGGCCCATATCTCCACACCCAGGCCCATATCTCCACTCCAGGCCCATATCTCCACTCCAGGCCCATATCTTTACCTCTAGGCCGAGATCTCCATCCCCACTCTCCCTCCCTCTATTCCCTTCCAGGACTCACCAACGCACGCCATGCTGACGACAGTGAGCGACATGGTGCTGCCGGTGCAGACAGGAGGCCGCGCCCCAGCTCAGCTCAGCAGCGCACAGGATGTTATTTGGCGCCCTGCCCATGCAGTTTACATGTTGACCACATCATGGGAGGGTGACGTACGCAGGCTCTTTCTACCTTGCATGAGGCCCAGTGGGTGCTCGCTCAAGAGCGGAACATGGCTTCCTGGAAATTGTTGTGACTACAATTGCCACCTTGCATCCTTCACTATGACCAGACTCAAAAGACGTCTCAGATCCAACCTCTCACACATGAGGTGATTGAATTCTGTGCTTACATTAAAGACTTTTGATGTATTTTTGTTTTTATCTGAGATTCAAACTTTTCTTCATGTGTAATGTGCAAAATATCTAAGAGGTATTATTAACATTATCAGAGTAATTGTGACAAAAAGCCATTCTAATTTTCCTGATGAGTTTCTAGTACTAAACCTGAGGCACGAGAATTGCTTGAACCTGGGAGGCGGAGGCTGCAGTGAGCTGAGCTCAAGCCACTGAACTCCAGCTTGGGTGACAGAGGAAGAGTCTGTCTCAAGAAAGAAAAAAAAAAGCAAACTAAATAACCTATAATAACAAATCAGAGAACTCAGGTTACCAAATTTTAAGGGGTTCTATAAGTTTATATGAAATGCAGCATCCTCATGAGAGGGGATACAGAGAACCACTGGGCAGAAAACTGTGTCTAAAATACATCTGTGGATACACAGTCCCTTCATAGTTGACAAAGGCTGCCATGTAGTTTAAGGTGGAATAGAATATTTTCTCAATAAATAACACAGGACCATAGGGTTACACGTAGGAAAAAATAAATCTAAACTTATCCTCACACTATAAAAACACTTCTTATTTTTTATCTTGTTGTTGTAAACTTTTTATGCTTTATTTTTAAGATTGACAAATAAAAATTATATACTGTGGTCCTTCACTATTCCTGGGTGATTGGTTCCAGGATCCCCATTCAGATACCAAAATCTGCAGATGCTCAAGCCCCTTGCATGAAATGGCATAGCGAAGCTGGGCACCGTGGCTCACGCCTGTAATCCCAGCACTTTGGGAGGCTGAGTTGGGTAGATCACGAGGTCAGGAGTTCAAGACCAGCTGGTCCAACATTCTGAAACCCCATCTCTACTAAAAATACACACACAAAAAAATTTATCTGTGCATGGTGGCACGTGCCTGTAATCCTAGGGGAGGCTACTGGGGAGGCTGAGGGAAGACAATCGCTTGAACCTGGGAGGCGGAGGTTGCAGTGAGCTGAGATCATGCCACTGCACTCCAGCCTGGGTGAGAGAGTGAGACTGTCTCAAAAAAAAAAAATAGCATAGTAATTGCATAGAACCCATGCACATCCTCCTGTATACATGAAATCATCTCTTGATTACTTATAATTCCTGACACAGCCTACACGCCACTCAATTTGTGTCGATTCAACATAGTTTTTTGCTTCTTGAAACTTCGGGGATTTTTTTCTGAAAACATTTTTGATTTATTGTTGGTTCAATAAACACCTGTAAACCCCACAGATATGGAGGACCGACTGTATATTTATATTATGAAAGATGATATGTTGATATGTGTCCCCGTGGAGATGAGGCTAACAAGGCCTATGACTCTACAAATGTTTCATCGTGGAATGACTCTGCCAGCTTTCCAGGTCTGCAGAGAGTAAGAATATCACTTGTTCATGTGATTCACGATCCTTGGAGCCTCCTATGTGCTGTATCTTTGGATGGAAATTGGAGTCTCAGAGACAAATCAGGCTCCATTCTGCTTCCAGAAGCTCAGAGTCCAGGGCTGAGAACCCAATGGAGAACAGATGGGGTTATGTGGACATGGTAATGATAACACCGGAAGCCTTAGGCAAGAAAAGAGTCTCGTTACCGAAACCATGAGGGCAGACATGTTTATTTGAAGGCGGGAAAACTACATTGAAATTATTTAAAAAATTTATAAGTTTTACTGCTGGCAGAAGGCTGAAAGATAGTCTGAAGGGAGGTGGAACAGCACGTGTCTAAGTGCTGTGTTAAGAGGCAGCCTCTTGTATGTTTGGAATTGTGAGTTCCTCAGTGTGATTGCAGCCTCAGGTAGACTAGGAAGTAAGCCAGTTAGGTTGGAGAGGTGGGCAGGGGTCAAGTGAAATGGAGAATTGTGGGCTAAGCAAAGGAGTGTGTTTTCTCTCCAGCAGGCAGTGGGGACCTTAGACATTTGTAAGCAAGAGAGAGGCATGTTCAGATTCGTGGTGTGAGGAAGAGCGATGCCCTAAGATGAAGACTGATGCCTTCAGATTCCAGCTGCTGGTACATGGGAGCTGGCAACCCGGTTTTGAGACAGGGCTGTTGTCTCCCTAGAAGATCCCCTCAAGGCCTGACTGTGGTGCTCGTGGACAGAAGACAACTTTGGATCTGGGCTCAGCATTTGGAAGTTCTATGTACATGCTGGTATCTGTTGGGGGTGTCTTGGGCCTCTCAGAAGGGCGAGTGATTTTTCTCTGTGTGAAAACACAGTGATCCAATTATGCGTATGACACCTCCTGATGGTCTTGTTCATCAGAATCCTGGAGAGAGGGAAATGCTGAGTGAGGGAGGGTGCTCACATTTTTCAGGACTCTTTGGGAATAAGACTAGCCACGAGGCTGGGCCGAGGAGCACCTACCTCGCTGTTCACTGTTCTGTTCCCTGCAGGCTCTTGGTCCATTACAGCAGCATCTGTAGAAGACGGAAGTCAACAAAAGAGCTCGGAGGGCACTTCTGGGTCCTCATTTCATAAGCAGATACCAACAAACAGGGGGAGGCCATAGGTGCCTGAGGTCCCTCAGTTGCCAACAGCAGACTCAGACATTCTATCTCTCTGAGTTCAAGGACCCATCCCATGAATAGCTCTGAGGTCCCATCCCATTGATTCTATCTCCCACTTTCTGCCTGTCATGGAACCTTCTCCTGGATGTGAGTGGCTGCAGGGGACGTGAGGATACAGTTCAGAATCAGGCAATGGTCTGTGAGCTGAAGGCAGGGGAAGGGAATCTGGTGCTCTCTCTAGAAAGTCCTGCCTCTGTGGCTCCTGTCTTGGGCCAGGGACCATCCTGCTGGTGAGGAACACACATCCGCGTGCTCCCATCCTGCTTCCCCACATGGCCCTGAGCTCTCTGGCCTCTGCTTCGTGAGACTTACTTTTTTTGTCGGAGCACCAGCGATGAAGGAGAAAGAAGAGGAGGATGGTGAAAGGGATTTTGACCACTGAGGTCCCAATCAGAACATGTAGGTGTCTGGGGTTACCTGGAAGAAGAGGAGACACCAATAAGAAGCTAATCATAGCAGTTCCTCTTTATGAATTGTCTCGCATTTCTTGATTGGCAGGTAACCACATACAACGTCTCTTTAGGACAAGCACCCAAATGGCGGGAGACCTAGCTTTCCCCTGCTTTCTCAATTATAGCTCTCATAGTAACCATAGAACGTGCTGAGGATACAACTACTTTAGTTGAGATGTTTGACCCTTTCAAACCTCACATTGAAATTTCACCCCCATTGTGGGAGGTTGGGCCTCTTCAGAGGTGTTTGGGTCATGGAGGTGGATCCATCATGAACAGACCAATGCTGTCCCAAGGAGACGGGGTTAGCAAGTTCCCCCTCTGTTAGTTCCTGGAGAGCTGGTTGTTAAAAAGAGCTTGGAAGCTCCATCGCTCCCTCTCCCCCTTACTCTCTCTCTTGCCGTGTGATCTCTGCGGTCTCTGCACAGACAGACCCTCCTTCCCTTCTGCCAGAGTGGGAGCAGCCTGAGGCCATCACGAGAAATAGATTCTGGTGCCATGCTTCCAGTACAGCCTGCAGAACTGTGAGGCAAACCAATCTCTTTTCTTTAGAAGTTACCCAGGCTCAAGTGTTCCTTTAGAGCAACAAAAATGGACTAAGATAGCAACATCCTGAGATCAGGAGGAATGTCTCAGAACAGCCTGGGCTGTCTTCCTGTTCTTCCTGGAGGAGGACGTCATGCAGTGCTTTAGCTGAGTGCTTCCTGTGGCTCCAGGGTACAAAACCCAGGCTGGGCTGCTTTCTGGCTTCCCCCAGTTACACTGCAAATGGGGTGACTCCATATGTCCCGAGCAGCTTTTCTGAGCCTTGAGGGACTGGCTCACATTGAAATGCAGGCTTCTGTTGTCACTCACTGCTTATCTGTTAGTAATGAACCTGCCTATGTAACGTATTCTCTGTGTGTTCTGTCTCCCTGGAGTGACGGTGAGTGATAGGAATTGGCATAGGCCCAGGTGCAGTCCAGGATTTGTTTAGAGTCTTCTCTGGGAAGACTGCACTGGGATTGATACACAGCGAATGTGCTTTAGGATTTCTACATCCACAGCATTCTTGAGTCAAACAAATTGCATTCACCAAGGAAAGGAAACAAAGGTGAAATCACGATTAAAAATAGCGAAGCAAGATTCTCTTATGTCAAACAGCCAGAAAATAGTGTTGAAGCCCGTGTGAAATGTGCTGCTCTTTGTGATCTCGGGAGACACATGTTAGGCTGCTGTTCTACCCGAGAGGCTGGGGGAAGGACCACCCCCTCCACCATCTATTGCTTCAATACCACCTGTCCTCCTGTGAATTAGTAGGAAAGGGGAACAGGAGCTAGTGCTGTCGCTGATCTCTGATTCCAAGATCTGGACTCACTCCAAGGAGTATTAATGTTTCCTCCCCATGGTCTATCTGAATCTCCACAGGTGATTGGAAGTAGGGGTGAGGTGGGGGATTTGGGTGAGTGGGCAAGTTTTTTTTTGCGATGAACAGAGCACTTTCTCTATTCCAGGATCCGTGCTGGAGGATTCAGCGGGCTTTCACATTTTCTATGTGATCTCATGCTCACAGAAAGCCAAATAGGGAAGAGGTTTTAGGCTCATTGCCTAATGGATAAGATAAAGGATCAAAGAAGTAATTATAGAGAAATAGAAAAATGATGATTGGAATTCAGGTGCCTTTGTCATTCGTGTGTGTTTTATTATATTTATGCATTTCTTATTTTTATTTTTTGAGACGGAGTCTCCTTGTGTCACCCAGGCTGGAGTGCAGTGATGCAATCTCCACTCACTGCAACCTCCACCTCCTGGGTTGAAGTCATTCTCCTGCTTCATCCTCCAGAGTAGGAGCTGGGATTACAGGGATGCACCACCATGCTCGGCTAATTTTTGTATTTTTAGTACAGATAGGGTTTCACCATGTTGGCCAGGCTGGTCTGGAACTCCTGACTTCATGGAATCCACCCGCCTTGGCCTCCTGCAGTGCTGGGTTACAAGCGTGAGCCACCGTTCACAGACTTGTATATTACGCTATAATAGGTCTCTTCATTTCCACCACCCCTCATATATCTGTCACTCCTTTGCCAGGTATTGATTTATGTGTAGGATGAATAAATCTCAGAAAGAAATTAATTAAGCGAGGATTAAACAAGTAGGAAAATCAAACCCAGCAAGCCTTTCCAGCCAATGATTCTACCTCACAAGCATAGCTTATATCCATCTGCTTCATCCACTTAGTGTCAAAATCAGCACCACATTTCACCAGTGGGTCGGGAATTGCCTTTTCCACGGTCTCCTAGATTCCAGTTACGCCCCTGGGCCTCCTTTATTTTCATGTCAGTCATATTAATCATGTAGGGATTCCTGGTTACCCCGAGGTGAATCCAATGGCTGTGAGTGTCAAACACACACTCCTTGTTGCTCCTTAGTTTCCTGTGTACCCAGTGTGCTCTCCGTCTCTCCACAGTCGTCTTGTCATTCTCCCCACCTCATTCCCAGCATTTGAGGAAGAGCCTCTTCCTTCCACATCAGATTGTTTTCACCTTTGTGCCTTCACGGCTGACAGCTGTGTGTGCAAAATCCTTCCGCCAATCTTTCAGGGGTTCAATCCGTGTTTTTCATTAATGTCACAAATATCTGAATAGTGAGACCTTCTTTGTCACCTGAAATCATACACTCAGCATTATCTATTATTGATTTTGAATTCTGGCTGGGCACAGTGGCTCACGCCTGTAGTCCCATTACTTTGGCATGCTGAGACGGTCGGATCACTTGAGGTTGGGAGTTTCAGACAAGCTTGGCCAACGTGGTGAAACATCCTCTCTACAAAAAATATACAAAAAGAATTAGCCGGGCACGGTGGCAGTTGCCTGTAATCCCAGCTACTCGAGAGGCGGAGGCAGGAGAATCACTTGAATCCAGGAGAAGCAGGTTGCAGTGAGCCAAGATCGTGACACTGCACTGTAGCCTGGAAGACAGAGGGCAACTCTGTCTCAATAAACAAAAGAACAAACAAAAAATAGATTTCATGCACAGATGCTTCCCAATGGATCATTCATTTATAGATCCACTTGTGCATTCATTTTCTGCCCTCCCATTTAACCATCTGCAATATCAGTGTCCCAAGGGCAGAGGCCAAATGCATCTTGTTCACTGTTTGTGGAAGGCAGGAGAATGCTGTCCCACCCCAAAATGTCCCTGTCCTAGCCTCCATAGCTTGTGAATATGTTATTTTACATGGAAAGGAGGAATGAAGATTGCAGATGGAATTATGGTTACTAATCAGCTGAACTTAAAACAAGGGTATCCTGGATGATTTCCAGGAGATTATGAGGGATTTTCATCTTGGTGAACCCAATAGAATCCCCAAGTTTTCAAAAGATGAGGAAGAAGGGAGAGCAGCATTCAGAGAAAGAAGTGTGGTAAGGAAGAAGGCACTGAGTGATGCCATGTGAGATGTGACCAGTCTTTGTGGGCTTTGAGGAAGGAGGAAGGGGACCAGGAGCCAAGGAACTGGGAGCCTTTAGAAGCTGGGACAAGTGAGAAGCAGATTCGTGCCTGGAATCCTCAGAGGGAAGGCAGCCTTGCTGTCACCTTGATTTTAGCCCAGTAAGATGCACTTCCTACTTTGAGCTACAGCACTGTAAGATAATTAAAAAACCGTTTTGTTTTCACCCACGAATCTTGTGGAAATTTGTTATGGCAACAATAGGAAAAGGTTCCGCACTGCACAGCCTGAGCATGGGGCCGTGGCTGAATGAGTCAGTGAGTCGAAGTGTGTGTGCATGAGCTCTGTTCTCTGTTACGGCAAGGCTCTTGCTCTGCTGAGTCAGCCAGGGTTGCTTCATGACCTACAGGAGCTCATTCCTTGGCAAGTGGAACTTCTCTAAAACACCTCGCCCTCATCAGATGTTCCCTTCCCTTCCCTCTCTCAAGTCTCCAGGAATTTATCCTCCAGTTAGGAATGCAGGCAGAACAAACATTGCATTTTTCCTGAGAAGGATGTCAGATTGGCAATCATTCTTCTAGCTTGTAGGAGGTCTCAGCTCCATAAAATGAGAGATGAAGAGATTTCACTGAGCCCTGTGTTGGGCCCAGATCCCTTTCGCTGTAGGAGTATCTGGAGTTCGGAGATGGTGGAAGACAGGTGTACAATGTCAGAGCTGTGAGATGCTGAGTCAACGCCTGAATCCAAGGTTTCCACCTCCCCAGGTTTCCAAAAGCGGATATAAGAGGGTTCTGTACTCACCGGTTTCGGAGCTTGGTTCAGTGGGTGAAGGCCAACTATTTGAAGGGTTTCCTAGAACATGAGACAGGAGAGAGGTGAGGAAATGAGGGTTTCTGTCCTCCACTCAGTGGAAATCTTTGAGGATGGTTCATGGCCAACACTCTGTTATCTAATATTGGGCCCTGGGAGTCCTGGGATCCTTTTTTCCATAATTTTTTTATGTGACACCCACTGTCTTGAGACTTCAAGGTATAAAGAGAAAACAGGAGCATCACACTACCTGATCTCAAAATATGTTACAGAGCTGTAGTAAGCAAAATAGCATGACACTGGCATAAAGAAAGGCACATAGAACAACGGAGCAGAATGAATAACACAGATATATTCCATGCATTTACATCCAATGGTTTTTTATTTTTTCTTTTGAGATGGAGTCTTGCTCTGTCACTCAGGCTGGAGTGCAAAGGTGCAATCTCGGTTCACTGCAACCTCAGCCTCCTGGGTTCAATCATTCTCTTGCCTCAAACTCCTGAGTAGTGGTATTACAGGTGCTGACCACCATGCTCAGCTAATTTTTATATTTTTAGTGGAGATGATGTTTCATCACGTCGGCCAGACTAATCTTGAACTCCTGGCCTCAGGTGATCCACCCACCTCGGGCTCCCAAAGTGCTGAAATTGCAGGTGTTAGCCACCAAGCCCAGCCCATCCAATGGACTTTGACAAAGATGCCAAGAACTCACAATCAGGAAAGGACAGTCTTTTCAATAAACAGTGCAGGGAAACCTGGACATCTACATGCAGAGGAATGAAACTGCACCTCTACCTGTCACCATACACAAAAATCAAATGAAAATGGATTAAAGATGTGAGTCTAAGGCCTGAACCTATGAAACACGTAGAACAAAATATTGGGGAAATGCTCCAGGACATTTGTCTGAAGAAAGACATTTTGTTTTAAACCTTGAAAACACAAGTAATCGAAGCAAAAATAGACCATTGGGATTACCTCATACTAAGCAACTTCTGCACCGCTAAAAATAAACCAACAAAGTGAAGAGACAACCCACAGATTGGGAGCAAATATGTGCAAACTATGCATCTGAGATGGGATTAATAACTAGAAATATAAGAAGCTCAAACAACTCAATAAAACAAATGATTTAATTGAAAAAGGAGCAAAAGACATGAAATTTCCCCACATACGAAAAACTGCTCAGTATCACTCATCATCAGAGAAACGCAAATTAAATTCAAAGTGAGTTTTCATCTCACCCCATTAAAATGGCTTTTAGGCCGGGTGAGGTGGCTCACGTTTGTCATCCTAGAACTTTGAGAGCCTGAGGTGGGTGAATCTCATAAGGTCGGGAGTTTGAGACCAGTATGACCCACATAGAGAAACACTGTCTCTACTAAAAATACAAAAATTAGTCGGGCGTGGTGGCGTGTGCCTGTAATTCCAGCTACTCGGGAGGCTGAGGCAGGAGAATCGCTTGAACCTGGGAGGTGGAGGTTGTGGTGAGCCGAGATCGCGCCACTGCACTCCAGCCTGGGTGAGAAGAGCAAAACTCCATCTCAAAATAAAATGAAATAAAATAAAATGGCTTTTAGCTGCAAGACAGGCAAAAGAAATGCTGGCAAGGTGGTAGAGAAAGGAGAACCCTGGTACCCTGTTGGGAGGAGTGTAAATTAGTACAGCCATTACGGAGAAAAGTATGGAAGTCCTTTAAAGAACTAAAAAGAGGTTGGGTGCGGTGGATCATGCCTGTAATCCCGGCACTTTGGGAGACTGAGGCGGGCACCTCAGTTGAGGTCATGAGTTTGAGAGCAGCCCAGCCAACATGGGGAAACCCCATCTATACTAAAAAAACCAAAAAGTAGCCAGGCATGGTGGTGTGCACCTGTAATCCCAGCTACTAGGGAGGCTGAGGCAGGAAAATCATTTGAACCCAGGAGGCGTAGGTTGCAATGAGCCAAGGTCGCACCACTTTGACTCCAGCTTGGGCTAAGGAGGGAAACTCTTTCTCAAAAAAGAAAAAAAGAAAAAAAGAGAACTTTCATAGTATCCAGCAATTTCACTACTGGGTTTATATCCAAAGGAAAGTAAATCAATATATCGAAGTGATATCTGCACTCGTATGATTGGTGCAGCACTGTTCACAGTAGCCAAGATGAGGAGTCAACCTACCTGCCCATCAGTGGGTAAATGGATAGAGAGAATGTAGTACATACGCATAGTGGAGACTACTCATCCATAGAAAGAATAACATCCTGTCATTTGCAGCCACATGGATGGAACTGGAGGTCATTACAAAGATTCCCATTTCTCACCCATATACAGGAGCTAAAAGGTGGATCTCATGAAGGTAGAGAGTAGAATGGTGGCTACTGGAGGACAGGAAGAAAAGGGTGGAGGGTAAAAAAAATGTATATATATATATATGTATATAAATGTATTTATGACCACTAGACTTTACACTTAAAAATGGTAAATGTGGCTGGGCGCGGTGGCCCATGCCTGTAATCCCAGCACTTTGGGAGGCAGATGCGGGTGGATCACTTGGTCAGGAGTTCGAGACCAGCTCGACCAACATGGTGAAACCACCTCCCTACTAAAAATACAAAAAGTAGCCTGGCGTGGTGGTGCGTGCCTGTAGCACCAGCTACTCAGGTGGCTGAGGCAGGAGAATCGCTTGAACCCAGGAGGTGGAGGTTGCAGTGAGCTGAGATTGTGCCACTGCACTCCAGCATAGGGGACACAGCTAGACTCCACCTCAAAAAAAAATGTTAAAAGTGGTAAGCTATATAGGTATATTTATCCTCAATAAATATTTCTTCAAAGAAAAGTAAAGGGTGTAGGGGTTGCTGGTGATGACATCTCTGTGTGGGTGAGAGGCCAGGATGGGCTTCTGGGAAATGGGTAAGGTTGAGGGGCTGAGGGAACCTCTGATCTCCCCAAACTGAGCCCAGTCTCCCTCCTCTGGGTCTCTCCTGACCGCTTTCTCCATCTGCCTGGGTGCCTGGAGCCCTGGCCGTGGGCCTCCATGCAGGCCATGTAGGAGGGTTTGGAGGTGCCCTGTCGGCCATCCTGTGCCCTGATCCCTCCCTCACACCGAGGCTGCGTCTTCTCTCTGCATCTGTCCATGCTTCTCTCCATCATCAGCAGGAAGCTCCTCAGCTAAGGCTCTAGGATCATAGGACATGGGACAGCCATGGGCTTTCCTCACCTGTGACAGAAACAAGCAGTGGGTCACTTGACTTTGACCACTCGTATGGAGAGTCACGGAAAGAGCCGAAGCATCTGTAGGTCCCTCCATGGGTGGCAGGGCCCAGAGGAAAGTTGGCCTGGAATGTTCCGTTGACCTTGGTCCCTGCAGGGAGCCTACGTTCATGGGCCTCCCCTTCCCTGGATAGATGGTACATGTCATAGGAGCTCCGGGAGCTGCAGGACAAGGTCACATTCTCTCCTGCCAGAACCGTGGGGCCCGGCTGGGCTGAGAGAGAAGGTTTCTCATATAGACCTGGAAGGAGAAGAGGCAGTTTCCTCAGGGAGGATCTTCCTTGTCACAGCTCCCTTCACCTGAGCTGAGAACTCACTCCCCTGCTCTATGACCTAATGCTCTCTCTCTCTCTCTCTCACCCTCTACCCCATCGCTCTTCATGTCTATTTCCTCCTTCCACCTTCTCTGTCTCTTTAGGTCTCTGACCTCACTTCCCCACCTCTAGATATGTTTTCTCTTTTTGGATTGTTTTATTCTCTCTGACTCTCCTTGGATTGGTTGACTTGATGTTACTTTTTTTAATTCTGAGTTTCTCACTTTGTGTCCTGTTCATAACTTTCTGCATATTTCTATCTATTATCTATCGATCTATCTATTTATCTATTCGGTGCCTATCTACAAATTCTCTACCTGTCATCTATATCTATATATCATCTATTTATCCATCAATTGTCTATCTATCCATCAATCATCTATTATCTATATCTATGTATCATCTCTCTCTCTCTATGATTTCTCTATGTCTGCCTCTGTATCTCTATGTATTATCTATCTATCTGTCTTCATCATCATCATCTCTATGTCTCATCTATTAATGAATCAATCAATCATCATCTATGTATCTATAACCTATTATCTATCATCTACCTATTTATCATCTATCTATATCTATCCATCTATCATCTGTCTTGCTCTGCCTCTCGGTCTCTCTAGTTCTCTTTGGAATCTCTGCAATTCATCCCCACATCTCCATCTTTCAATGTCCTTGTGCCTCTCCCTCAGGAGTCTAATTTTAGTGCTTTTCTCTGCTCCCTTCCATCATTCTCACTTCTCTGCCCTCTTTTCTCTTTATGTGTCTGTGAGTCTCTCAATCTCCTTCCTCTGGCTCATTCTCTGTGTGTTTATGTCTTTGCTTTTTGGTGTCCCTGATTTCTCTCTGTGCCTCTCACTGATCCTCTCATAAGTGGGCTTATTTGGAATATGAGCCTCAGAATCCAGTCTGGAGACTACAAGTTCACACAGCATACAGGGGTTGGTGTTGTGGGGCCATGATATCCTGGGACGATTACTCTCCATTACATGGAAGGCAGAGGTGTCAGAATAAACATGGCATCTGTAGGTGCCACAAGGCCTGAGGCCACAGGGCCCAACTCAGGTCAGAAATATGGGTGTCCTTGGGTTCTCCTGGTAGAGAACACTTTGTGGAGGTAAAACAGAAATGAAACTTCTAACCTGTGCCAGGTCTCTGAGCAAAGTCAGCATGGAGGGACACCTCTCTCTGGGACATGTCTGTCTGTGTGTTTCCTTTAACTCTTTCTGTCTTTTCAAACTCCCGGTATGGCCCCTGTGTCTGTTCTCTGTTATGACACCTGGTCTCTACTTGTGTCTCCTGTTTCTCTGTCTCTGTTGGCACAGACCTCACCAAGTCAGTCTCTCTCCATAAGAATACCAAGCTCATCTTCCTTACAGCCACCTGGGCCTCCAAGTCCTGGATCATTCACTCTGCATCCCAATGACAATGAGAAGAAAGTCTGGACACTCTCACCTATGATCACGATGTCCAGAGGGTCACTGGGAGCTGACAACTGATAGGGGGAGTGAGTAACAGAACCGTAGCATCTGTAGGTCCCTGCCAGGTCTTGCTTCATGCGACTGATGGAGAAGTTGGCCTTGGAGACCCCATCATGGTGTTCTCCAATGAGGCGCAAAGTGTCGTTAAACATCCCCTCTCTGTGCAGAAGGAAGTGTTCAAACATGACATCTGACCAACATTGCAGGATGACTGTCTCTTCTGATTTCACCAGGCGACCTGGGTGGGCCAGGAGGGAAGGTTTTCTGTGGACTCCTAGGAAGAGAGGTTGTGAGTTTAGAAGGTGTCTCTCTTTATCATCCCATCCATGGCACCTGGATTGAGTCAGGCTTCCCCTTCCTGGTGTCTTATCTCTCTCCTTCCTCTCTGTGTCTTCATGTTCTTTTCTGTGCCCATAACTCCTGGTGCAGGTCCTTCCATCTGTCTCCCTCACTCTTCTCTGTCCCTCTGTCTCTAGTAGCCTCTGATTCCCTTGCCGCTGGGCTCAGCCTCATCTCTTGGGCTGTTGTATCTATTTCGAACTAATGTCTTTCCTGCTGTCTGTGTGGGGGTGGAAGAGGAACCAGGATAGGCTGCACATCCAGGCTCTTAGCAGCCTGGTTCAATCTCTTTTGGACGAATTGGAATCCTTGGCAGGAGGTATGAACTGATCAGTAAGGCAGGCACCAGTGGCCACACACCCTGTTCCTGGTAGGGACTGGGAGACACTCTTGCCATGCCAGTGCCAGCTTCCATAGCCTGGCTCCTGGTGCTGGTTGGAGGAGTATCAACCGCTCCCTATGTGGATGGAGCCTGGTGGTGGCATCATCATCCGAGCCTTGCTGATCTCAGTGTAGCCAACCTTCTCCTTGTTTGGTTTCTTTAATTAATTAATTAATTTTGGCGACAGAGTCTCACTCCTTTGCCCAGGCTGGAGTGAAGTGGTGTGGTCTAGGCTTACTGCAACCTCTGTCTCCTGGGTTCAAGTGATTCTCCTGCCCTCAGCCTCCCAAGTCGCTAGGATTACATGCACCTGCCACCATGCCTGGCTATCCTTGTGTTGTTTCTTAACTTGTCCTTGACCTGGGTTCCAGTGTTGGTTTCCTGTTGCTGCTGTAGAAAATTATCAGAAGCATGGCAGCAGGAGAGAGCACACTAACCCCTTCCAATTCTGGAGACAGAAATCGGACCCTGTTTGTCGTGGGTAAAATCAAGGTACCTGCAGGGCTTCGTTCCCTCTGGAGACTCAGGAGAATCAGTTCCTTGACTTTTCCAGCCTCTATAGGCCACCTGCATTCATGGCTCCTGGACTTCCTCCACCTTCAAAGCTGATGGAGACTCCCATTATGCTGCTGTAATCCCCACTCCCCTCTTCCTCCTCCTTTCCTGTGGACCCCTGTGACTACACTGAGCCCATCAGGACAGTCCAGGTTGTCTCCCCATCTCAAGGTCAACTCATCAACAACCTGAGCTCCATCTTCTCCTTCAGTCCCTTCCCCTATATCATAAATAGTCACAGACTCCAGGGATTAGAATGTAGTCATCACTGGGGACAATTATTCTTCCCACCACAGCACCCATTTCCCTGTATTCAATCCCCCTTTACCCCAAATACAGTCAGGACTTGCATGATGGGACCCGCAAGGACACGCCCACCAGGAGCTCTGGGATTCAGGAGGTGGGACAAGGAGAATCCCAGACAGGAGCCCTCTGACCTGTGACCGTGATCTCCAGGGGGTTGCTGGGTGCCGACCACCCACTGGGGTAGTGTGGTTGTGAACCCCGACATGTATAGGTCCCTGCGTGTGCTGGGGTCACAGGGCCCATGAAAAGGCTGTTCCAGAATATTATGTTGTAGAGCTCAGGGACAGGCACCCCATCTTCCTTTTACAGACTGAAGTTGTTAAACCCAAGATAAGAATGACACTGAAGAATCACATATCCTGGAGGCACCACAGGGCTTGGCCAGGCAGACAGCAAGGGCTTGTCCTGACCACCGTGGGGAGAAGGAGGCACCGCCTTAGAGAGGAGGATGTGGAGCCGCCCCTCCCTCCCTGTGCTCTGAAGATTCTCCTCGCTTTCCAAGTTTCTATGGCTGCTATCACACCTTGGTGCCCAGGGCTAAAGGAAGAACCCATCCCGCAAACACAAGGTGTCTCCCTACAACAAAAGTGTCAGCTGAGAACTTTGAGCAAGTGCTGAGTAAGAGACTCCTACTAGATTTTAATACTGTAAGATTACTCACATAAAACAACACAGGGTAGACATGGGGTGGAGGGCATGTCCTTTGAGAATGGAATATCAGCCGATGCCTGAACGAAAATAAACAACTGAGTCCCCATCAGAGGATTGGAATGTCAGGGCCATGGCTGTGGTTTTCCCACCTCTTCTGGTAGAATGACAGCAGCCACACTGCAGCCCCTACCGTCATGGAAACGCTGAAGTGTGTGAGTAACACCTTTGTCCTCAGAGGATCTGCTGTTCCTACCACTTCCCCACCACACACCCCAGCTTTGAGCACCGTAGTCTAACCCTGGTCCCCACAGAACTTGACTCTGCCAAGGGAATGAAAGGCCAGGGAGGCAAGGTCAGAAATGTGGGCCCAGCACCCCAGGGTCCCTTCTTCCTAGTTTATGAGAGACTCCCTGACAGGACTTCCCTCCCATTTCAGGAAAATCCTCTTATGTGGGGAGATGACACCCGAAGGTTTGGAGAAGGACTCACCCTCATGTGGCCAGGCCCCCTGCAGCAAGAAGAACCCTGGAAAGAAAGATCATGATGGATGACCCATCTGCAGGCAAACCAGGGCACCCTTGCTGCCCCCACTGGGCTGTGAGTCTTGGTAGCCAGGCCCTTCCTGGGCTGAAGGTAAACTCACCCTCAGTGCCTACCTGCACCCAAGAACAGGGCTGTCGGCTGTGCAGAGACCCAGCCTCCAGGTCCATATCCCCACCTCAAGCCCATATCTCCACTCCAGGCCCATATCTCCACTCCAGGCCGATATTTCCACCCTAAGCCCATATCGCCAATCCAGGCCCATATCTCCAATCCAGGCTCAGATCTCCACCCTGGGCCCATATCTCCAATCCAGGCCCTTATCTCCACTCCAGGTCCATATCTCCTCTCCAGTCCCATATCTCCACTCCAGGCCCATATATCCTCTCCAGTCCCATATCTCCACACCCAGGCCCGTATCTCCATCCTAGGCACATATCTCCTCTCCAGGCCCAGATATCGACCTCTAGGCCCATATCTCCACTCCTGGCCCATATCTCCACTCCAGGCCCAGATATCGACCTCTAGGCCCATATCTCCACTCCTGGCCCATATCTCCACTCCAGGCCCATGTCTCCACTTCAGGCCCATATCTCTACTGCAGGCCCGTAACTCCACCTCCAGGCCCATGACTCCACTCCAGGCCCATATCTCCACCTCCAGGCCCATATCTCCCCTCCAGGTTCCTATCTCCCCTCCAGGTTCCTATCTCCACTCCAGGCCCAGATCTCCACTACAGTCCCATCACTCCACCTCCAGGCCTATATCTCGACCTCTGGGCCCAGATCTCCACTTCTAGGCCCATCACTCCATCTCTAGGCCCATATATCCACTCCAGGCCCAGATCTCCACTCCAGGCCCACAACTCCACCTCCAGGCCTATATATCCACCTCTGGGCCCAGATCTCCAACCCCACACTCCCTTCCTCTATTCCCTTCCAGGACTCACCAACACACGCCATGCTGACGACCGTGAGCGACATGGTGCTGCCGGTGCAGACAGGCGGCCGCGCCCCAGCTCAGCTCAGCAGCGCACAGGATGTTATTTGGCGCCCTGCCCATGCAGTTTACATGTTGACCACATCATGGGAGGGTGACGTACGCAGGCTCTTTCTACCTTGCATGAGGCCCAGTGGTTGCTCGCTCAAGAGCGGAACACGGCTTCCTGGAAATTGTTCTCACTAGAATTTACACCTAGCGTCCTTCACTATGACCAACTCAAAACACGTCTCAGATCCAACCTCCTGAACACGAGATGCCTAAAATCTGTGCTAACGTGAAAGACTTTTCATGTATTTTTATTGTTTTTATCTGAGATTCAAACTCTTCTTCCTGTGTAATATGCAAAATATCTAATAGGTATTATTAAGGTTTTCAGAGTCATTGTGACTAATAAACCATTAGAATTTTTCATGCTTGTATTTCTAGTATTACAGCAGAACCAGTTAAAATGATTTAAATTCCCAGGGAAGGATTATGCAATTATTTACAATCTTTGAATTGTACGTTATCAGCAAAAACCACACATTTAAACTCTGGATTTTTGTAGATTTATCTAAAATTTGTCTCATGACCCAAGTTTCCAGAGTCCCAACTCTGGAGTTTGCTCTCTCTCTGTCTCTCTCCCTCCCTCATTTTAAATTTTACAGAAATATCCAGTAACATAATGCTATAGAAAATCAAGTTTCCCCCAGCACGTCGGGAAGCCGAGGTGGGCGGATCAACTGATATAAGGAGTTTGAGAGCAGCCTGGCAACACAGTGAAACCGTGTCTCTGCTAAAAATCCAAAAATTAGCCGTGCCCAGTGGCAGGAACTTGTAACACCAGCTACCCAAGAGGCTGAGGCACGAGAATCGCTTGAACCTGGGAGGCGGAGGTTGCAGTGAGCTGAGATTGCACCACTGCAGTCCAGCCTGGGCGACAGAGCAAGACTCCGCCTCAAGAAAATAAAAATAGCAAATAGCCTATAATAACAAATTAGAGGCCTCTGGCTACTAAATTTAAAGGGTTCTATGGGGCTACATAAAGTGGAGCATCCTCAAGAATGTGGACACAGAGAGCCGTTTAGCAGAGACAGTGTCTAAAATACACATCCGTGTACACACAGTCCCTTTTTAGTTGACAAAGGCTGCCGTGTGGTTTAAGGTGGCATAGAATGTCTTCTCAATAAATAATATTAAACCAAAGGGTTACACATAGGAAATAATAAATCTAAACTTATTCTCACACTATAAAAACACTTCTTAGTTTTTATCTAGTTATTGTACATTTTTTATGATTTATATTTAAATTTGAGAAATAAAAGTCCTATACCGTCATCCTTCACTATTCATGGGTGATTGGTTTCAGGATCTCCACTCAGATACTAAAATCTGCAGATGCTCAAGCCTCTTACATAAAATGACACAGCATTTGGATATAACCCATGCACATCCTCCTGTATACATGAAATCATCTCTTGATTACTTATAATTCCTGATACAGCCTATACACCACCTCATTTGTGTGCATTCAACACAGTTTTGCTTTTTGGAACTTTGTGGGCTTTTTCTCTGAATATTTTTGATTTATACTTGGTTCAATAAACACCTGTAAACCCCACAGATACGGAGGAGCGACTGTATATTTATAGTATGAAAGATGATGCGTTGACATGTGTCCCCGTGGAGATGAGACTAACAAGGCCTATGACTCTACAAATGTTTCATCATGGAATGACTCTGCCAGCTTTCCAGGTCTGCAGAGAGTAAGAATATCACTTGTTCATGTGATTCACGATCCTTGGAACTTCCTATGTGCTGCATCTTTGGATGGAAATTGGAGTCTCAGAGACAAGTCAGGGTCCACCCTGTTCCAGAAGCTCAGAGTCCAGGGGTGAGAACCCAGTGGAGAACAGATGGGGTTATGTGGACATGGTAATGATAACACCAGAAGCCTTAGGCAAGAAAAGAGTCCCATTACCGAAACCATGAGGGCAGACATGTTTATTTGAAGGAGGGAAAACTACATTGAAATTACTAAAAACAATTTATAAGTTTTACTGCTGACAGAAGGCTGAAAGATAGTCTGAGGGGAGGTGGAACTGCATGAGAGAAGGTGGAACAGCACGTGTCTAAGTGCTGTGTTAAGAGGGAGCCTCTTGTATGTTTGGAATTGTGAGTTCCTCAGTGTGATTGCAGCCTCAAGTAGACTAGGAAGTAAGCCAGTTAGGTTGGAGAGGTGGGCAGGGGTCAAGTGAAATGGAGAATTGTGGGCTAAGCAAAGGAGTGTGTTTTCTCTCCAGCAGGCAGTGGGGACCTTAGACATTTGTAAGCAAGAGAGAGGCATGTTCAGATTCGTGGTTTGAGGAAGAGCGATCCCCTAAGATGAAGACTGATGCCTTCAGATTCCAGCTGCTGGTACATGGGAGCTGGCAACCCGGTTTTGAGACAGGGCTGTTGTCTCCCTAGAAGATCCCCTCAAGGCCTGACTGTGGTGCTCGTGGACAGAAGACAGCTTTGGATCTGGACTCAGCATTTGGAAGTTCTATGTACATGCTGGTATCTGTTGGGGGTGTCTTGGGCCTCTGAGAAGGGGGAGTGATTTTTCTCTGTGTGAAAACACAGTGATCCAATTATGCGTATGACACCTCCTGATGGTCCTGTTCATCAGAATCCTGGAGAGAGGGAAATGCTGAGTGAGGGAGGGTGCTCACATTTTTCAGGACTCTTTGGGAATAAGACTAGCCACGAGGCTGGGCCGAGGAGCACCTACCTCCCTGTTCACTGTTCTGTTCCCCGCAGGCCCTTGGTCCATTACAGATGCATCTGTAGAAGATGGAAGTCAACAAAACAGCTCGGAGGGCACTTCTGGGTCCTCATTTCATAAGCAGATACCAACAAACAGGGGGAGGCCATAGGTGCCTGAGGTCCCTCAGTTGCCAACAGCAGACTCAGACATTCTATCTCTCTGAGCTCAAGGACCCATCCCATGAATAGCTCTGAGTTCCCATCCCATTGATTCTATCTCCCACTTTCTGCCTGTCATGGAACCTTCTCCTGGATGTGAGTGGCTGCAGGGGACGTGAGGGTACAGTTCAGAATCAGGCAATGGTCTGTGAGCTGAAGGCAGGGGAAGGGAATCTGGTGCTCTCTCTAGAAAGTCCTGCCTCTGTGGCTCCTGCCTTGGGCCAGGGACCATCCTGCCTGTGAGGAACACACACCCGCGTGCTACCATCCTGCTTCCCCACATGGCCCTGAGCTCTCTGGCCTCTGCTTCGTGAGACTTACTTTTTTTGTTGGAGCACCAGCGATGAAGGAGAAAGAAGAGGAGGATGGTGAAAGGGAGTTTGACCACTGAGGTCCCAATCAGAACGTGTAGGTGTCTGGGGTTACCTGGAAGAAGAGGAGACACCAATAAGAAGCTAATCATAGCAGTTCCTCTTTATGAATTGTCTCGCATTTCTTGATTGACAGGTAACCACATACAACGTCTCTTTAGGACAAGCACCCAAATGGTGGGAGACCTAGCTTTCCCCTGCTTTCTCAATTATAGCTCTCATAGTAACCATAGAACGTGCTGAGGATACAACTACTTTAGTTGAGATGTCTGACCCCTTCAAACCTCACATGGAAATTTCACCCCCACTGTGGGAGGTTGGGCCTCTTGGGAGGTGTTTGGGTCATGGAGGTGGATCCATCATGAACAGAACAATGCTGTCCCAAGGAGACGGGGTTAGCAAGTTCCCCCTCTATTAGTTCCCGGAGAGCTGGTTGTTCAAAAGAGCTTGGAAGCTCCATCGCTCCCCCTCCCCCTTACTCTCTCTCTTGCCGTGTGATCTCTGCGGTCTCTGCACAGACAGACCCTCCTTCCCTTCTGCCAGAGTGGGAGCAGCCTGAGGCCGTCACAAGAAATAGATTCTGGTGCCATGCTTCCAGTACAGCCTGCAGAACGGTGAGGCAAACCGATCTCTTTTCTTTAGAAGTTACCGAGGCTCAAGTTTTCCTTTAGAGCAACAAAAAAAAACTACGACAGCAACGTCCTGAGATCAGGAGGAATGTCTCAGAACAGCCTGGGCTGTCTTCCTGTTCTTCCTGGAGGAAGGCGTCATGCAGTGCTTTAGCTGAGTGCTTCCTGTGGCTCCAGGGTACAAAACCCAGGCTGGGCTGCTTTCTGGCTTCCCCCAGCTACACTGCAAATGGGGTGACTCCATATGTCCCGAGCAGCTTTTCTGAGCCTTGAGGGACTGGCTCACATTGAAATGTAGGCTTCTGTTGTCACTCGCTGCTTATCTGTTAGTAATGAACCTGCCTGTGTAATGTATTCTCTGTGTGTTCTGTCTTCCTGGAGTGACGGTGAGTGATAGGAATTGGCATAGGCCCAGGTGCAGTCCAGGAGGTGTTTAGAGTCTTCTCTGGGAAGACTGCACTGGGATTGATACACAGCGAATGTGCTTTAGGATTTATACATCCACGGCATTCTTGAGTCAAACAACTTGCATTCTCCAAGAAAAGGAAACAAAAGTGAAATCAAGATAAAAAAAGCGAAGTAGAATTCTCTTATGTCAAATGGCCAGGAAATAGTGTTGAAGCCCATGTGAAACGTGCTACTCTTTGTGATCTCAGGAGACACATGTTAGGCTGCTGTTCTACCCCAGAGGCTGGGGGAAGGACCACACCCTCGGCCATCTATTGCTTCAATACCACCTGTCCTCCTGTGAATTAGTAGGAAAGGGGAGCAGGAGCTAGTGCTGACGCTGATCTCTGATTCCAAGATCTGGACTCACTCCAAGGAGTATTAGAATTTACCTCCCCATGGCCTATCTGAATCTCCACAGATGATTGGAAGTAGGGGTGAGGTGGGGGATTTGGGTGAGAGGGCATGTTTTTTTTGTGATGAACAGAGCACTTTGTGTATTCCAGGATCTGTGCTGGAGGATTCAGCGGGCTTTCACATTTTCTATATGATCTCATGCTCACAGAAAGCCAAATAGGGAAGAGGTTTTAGGCTCATTGCCTAATGGATAAGATAAAGGATCAAAGAAGTAATTATAGAGAAATAGAAAAATCATGATTGGAATTCAGGTCCCTTTGTCATTTGCGTGTGTTATATTATATTTATATTTATGCATTTCTTATTTTTATTTTTTGAGACGGAGTCTCCTTGTGTCACCCAGGCTGGAGTGCAGTGATGCAATCTCCACTCACTGCAAACTCCACCTCCTGGGTTGAAGTCATTCTCCTGCTTCATCCTCCAGAGTAGGAGCTGGCATTACAGGGATGCACCACCATGTTCGGCTAATTTTTGTGTTTTTCCTAGAGACAGGGTTTCACCATGTTGGCCAGGCTGGTCTCGAACTGCTGACTTCGTGTGATCCACCCGCCTTGGCCTCCTGCAGTGCTGGGTTACAGGCGTGAGCCACCGTTCACAGACTTGTATATTATGCTGTAATAGGTCCCTTCATTTCCACCACCCCTCATATATCTGTCACTCCTTTGCCAGGTATTGATTTATGTGTAGTAGGAATAAAGCTCAGAAAGAAATTAAGCGAGGATTAGACAACTAGGAAAATCATACCCAGCAAGCCTTTCCAGCCAATGATTCCACCTCACAAGCATATCTTATATCCATCTGCTTCACCCAGTTAGGGTCTAAATCAGCACCACATTTCACCAGTGAGGCGGGAATTGCCTTTTCCACGGTCTCCTAGATTCCAGTTACGCACCTGGGCCTCCCTTATTTTCATGTCAGTCACTATTAATCATGTAGGGATTCCTGGCTACCCCGAGGTGAATCCAATGGCTGTGAGTGTCAAACACACACTCCTTGTTGCTCCTTAGTTTCCTGTGTACCCAGTGTGCTCTCCGTCTCTCCACAGTCGTCTTGTCATTCTCCCCATCTCATTCCCAGCATTTGAGGCAGAGCCTCTTCCTTCCACATCAGATTGTTTTCAGCTTTCTGCCTTCACGGCTGACAGCTGTGTGTGGAAAATCCTTCCGCCAATCTTTCAGGGGTTCAATCCGTGTTTTTCATTAATGTCACAAATATCTGATTAGTGAGATCTTCTCTGTCACCCAAAATCATACACTCAGCATTATGTATTATTTATTTTAAATTCTGGCTGGGCACAGTGGCTCACGCCAGTTATCCCAGTACTTTAGGATGCTGAGACGGTCGGATCACTTGAGGTTGGGAGTTTCAGAGAAGCTTGGCGAAGATGGTGAAACATCCTCTACAAAAAATATACAAAAAGAATTAGCCGGGCATGGTGGCAGTTGCCTGTAATCCCAGCTACTCGAGAGGCTGACGCAGGAGAATCACTTGGATCCAGAAGGTGCAGGTTGCAGTGAGCCAAGATGGTGACACTGCACTGTAGCCTGGAAGACGGAGGGAGACTCTGTCTCAATAAACAAACGAAGAAACAAACAAATAGATTTCATACACAGATGCTTCCCAATGGATCATTCATTTATTGGTCCACTTGTGCATTCATTTTCTGCCCTCCCATTTAACCATCTGCAATATCAGTGTCCCAAGGGCAGAGGCCAAATGCATCTTGTTCACTGTTTGTGGAAGGTAGGAGAATGCTGTCCCACCCCAAAATGTCCCTGTCCTAGCCTCCATAGCTTGTGAATATCTTATTTTACATGGAAAGGAGGAATGAAGATTGCAGATGGAATTATGGTTGCTAATCAGCTGAACTTAAAACAAGGGTATCCTGAATGATTTCCTGGAGATTATGATGGATTTTCATCTTGGTGAACCCAATAGAATCCCCAAGTTTTCAAAAGATGAGGAAGAAGGGAGAGCAGCATTCAGATAAAGAGGTGTGGTAAGGAAGAAGGGTCTGAGTGATGCCACGTGAGATGTGACCAGCCTTTGTGGGCTTTGAGGAAGGAGGAAGGGGACCAGGAGCGAAGGAATGTGGGAGCCTCTAGAAGCTGGGACAAGTGAGAAGCAGATTCTTGCCTGGAACCCTCAGAGGGAAGGCAGCCTTGCTGTCGCCTTGATTTTAGCCCAGTGAGATGCACTTCATACTTTGAGCTAGAGCACTGTAAGATAATTAAAAAACCGTTTTGTTTTCACCCACGAATCTTGTGGAAATTTGTTATGGCAACAATAGGAAAAGCTTCCACACTGCACAGCCTGAGCATGGGGCCGTGGCTGAATGAGTCAGTGAGTCGAAGTGTGCGTGCATGAGCTCTGTTCTCTGTTACGGCAAGGCGCTTTCTCTGCGGAGTCAGCCAGGGTTGCTTCATGACCTACAGGAGCTCATTCCTTGGCAAGTGGAACTTCTCTAAAACACCTCGCCCTCATCAGATGTTCCCTTCCCTTCCCTCTCTCAAGTCTCCAGGAATTTATCCTCCAGTTAGGAATGCAGGCAGAACAAACATTGCATTTTTCCTGAGAAGGATGTCAGATTGGCAATCATTCTTCTAGCTTGTAGGAGGTCTCAGCTCCATAAAATGAGGGATGAAGAGATTTCACTGAGCCCTGTGTTGGGCCCAGATCCCTTTCGCTGTTGGAGTATCTGGAGTTCGGAGATGGTGGAAGACAGGGGTACAATGTCAGAGCTGTGAGATGCTGAGTCAACGCCTGAATCCAAGGTTTCCACCTCCCCAGGTTTCCAAAAGCGGATATAAGAGGGTTCTGTACTCACCGGTTTCGGAGCTTGGTTCAGTGGGTGAAGGCCAACTATTTGAAGAGTTTCCTAGAACACGAGACAGGAGAGAGGTGAGGAAATGAGGGTGTCTGTCCTCTACTCAGTGGAAATCTTTGAGGATGGTTCATGGCCAACACTCTGTTATCTAATATTGGGCCCTGGGAGTCCTGGGATCCTTTTTTCCATAATTTTTTTATGTGACACCCACTGTCTTGAGACTTCAAGGTATAAAGAGAAAACAGGAGCATCACACTACCTGATCTCAAAATATGTTACAGAGCTGTAGTAAGCAAAACAGCATGACATTGGCATAAAGAAAGGCACATAGAACAATGGAGCAGAATGAATAACACAGATATATTCCATGCATTTACATCCAATGGTTTTTATTTTTTCTTTTGAGATGGAGTCTTGCTCTGTCACTCAGGCTGGAGTGCAGAGGTGCAATCTCAGTTCACTGCAACCTCAGCCTCCTGGGTTCAATCATTCTCTTGCCTCAAACTCCTGAGTAGTGGTATTACAGGTGCTGACCACCATGCTCAGCTAATTTTTATATTTTTAGTGGAGACGATGTTTCATCACGTCGTCCAGACTGATCTTGAACTCCTGGCCTCAGGTAATCCACCCGCCTCGGCCTCCCAAAGTGCTGAAATTGCAGGTGTTAGCTACCAAGCCCAGCCCATCCAATGGACTTTGACAAAGGTGCCAAGAACTCACAATCAGGAAAGGACAGTCTTTTCAATAAACAGTGCAGGGAAACCTGGACATCGACATGCAGAGGAATGAAACTGCACCTCTACCTGTCACCATACACAAAAATCAAATGAAAATGGATTAAAGATGTGAGTCTAAGGCCTGAACCTATGAAACACGTAGAACAAAATATTGGGGAAATGCTCCAGGACATTTGTCTGAAGAAAGACATTTTGTTTTAAACCTTGAAAACACAAGTAATCGAAGCAAAAATAGACCATTGGGATTACCTCAAACTAAGCAACTTCTGCACTGCTAAAAATAAACCAACAAAGTGAAGAGACAACCCACAGATTGGGAGCAAATATGTGCAAACTATGCATCTGAGATGGGATTAATAACTAGAAATATAAGAAGCTCAAACAACTCAATAAAACAAATGATTTAATTGAAAAAGGAGCAAAAGACATGAAATTTCCCCACATACGAAAAACTGCTCAGTATCACTCATCATCAGAGAAACGCAAATTAAAATCAAAGTGAGTTTTCATCTCACTCCATTAAAATGGCTTTTAGGCCGGGCGAGGTGGCTCACGTCTGTCATCCTAGAATTTTGAGAGCCTGAGGTGGGTGAATCTCATAAGGTCGGGAGTTTGAGACCAGTATGACCCACATAGAGAAACGCTGTCTCTACTAAAAATACAAAAATTAGTAGGGCGTGGTGGCGTGTGCCTGTAATTCCAGCTACTCGGGAGGCTGAGGCAGGAGAATCGCTTGAACCTGGGAGGTGGAGGTTGCGGTGAGCCGAGATCGCACCACTGCACTCAGCCTGGGTGACAAGAGCGAAACTCCACCTCAAAATAAAATGAAATAAAATAAAATGGCTTTTAGCTGCAAGACAGGCAAAAGAAATGCTGGCAAGGTGGTAGAGAAAGGAGAACCCTGGTACCCTGTTGGGAGGAGTGTAAATTAGTACAGCGATTACGGAGAAAAGTATGGAAGTCCTTTAAAGAACTAAAAAGAGGTTGGGTGTGGTGGATCAGGCCTGTAATCCCGGCACTTTGGGAGACTGAGGCGGGCACCTCAGTTGAGGTCATGAGTTTGAGAGCAGCCCAGCCAACATGGGGAAACCGCATCTATACTAAAAAAACCAAAAAGTAGCCAGGCATGGTGGCGTGCACCTGTAATCCCAGCTACTAGGGAGGCTGAGGCAGGAAAATCATTGGAACCCAGGAGGCGGAGGTTGCAATGAGCCAAGGTCGCACCACTTTGACTCCAGCTTGGGCTAAGGAGGGAAACTCTTTCTCAAAAAAGAAAAAAAAAAAAAAGAGAACTTTCATAGTATCCAGCAATTTCACTACTGGGTTTATATCCAAAGGAAAGTAAATCAATATATCGAAGTGATATCTGCACTCGTATGATTGGTGCAGCACTGTTCACAGTAGCCAAGATGAGGAGTCAACCTACCTGCCCATCAGTGGGTGAATGGATAGAGAGAATGTAGTACATACGCACAGTGGAGACTACTCATCCATAGAAAGAATAACATCCTGTCATTTGCAGCCACATGGATGGAACTGGAGGTCATTACAAAGATTCCCATTTCTCACCCATATACAGGAGCTAAAAGGTGGATCTCATGAAGGTAGAGAGTAGAATGGTGGCTACTGGAGGACAGGAAGAAAAGGGTGGAGGGTAAAAAAAATGTATATATATATATATATAAATGTATTTATGACCACTAGACTTTACACTTAAAAATGGTAAATGTGGCTGGGTGCGGTGGCCCATGCCTGTAATCCCAGCACTTTGGGAGGCTGATGCGGGTGGATCATGTGGTCAGGAGTTCGAGACCAGCTCGACCAACATGGTGAAACCACCTCTCTACTAAAAATACAAAAAGTAGCCTGGCATGGTGGTGCGTGCCTGTAGCACCAGCTACTCAGGTGGCTGAGGCAGGAGAATCGCTTGAACCCAGGAGGCGGAGGTTGCAGTGAGCTGAGATTGTGCCACTGCACTCCAGCATAGGGGACAGAGCTAGACTCCACCTCAAAAAAAAATGTTAAAGGTGGTAAGCTATATAGGTATATTTATCCTCAATAAATATTTCTTCAAAGAAAAGTAAAGGGTGTAGGGATTGCTGGTGATGACATCTCTGTGTGGGTGAGAGGCCAGGATGGGCTTCTGGGAAATGGGTAATGTTGAGGGGCTGAGGGAACCTCTGATCTCCCCAAACTGAGCCCAGTCTCCCTCCTCTGGGTCTCTCCTGACCGCTTTCTCCATCTGCCTGGGTGCCTGGAGCCCTGGCCGCGGGCCTCCATGCAGGCCATGTAGGAGGGTTTGGAGGTGCCCTGTCTGCCATCCTGTGCCCTGATCCCTCCCTCACACCGAGGCTGCGTCTTCTCTCTGCATCTGTCCATGCTTCTCTCCATCCTCAGCAGGAAGCTCCTCAGCTAAGGCTCTAGGATCATAGGACATGGGACAGCCATGGGCTTTCCTCACCTGTGACAGAAACAAGCAGTGGGTCACTTGACTTTGACCACTCGTATGGAGAGTCACGGAAAGAGCCGAAGCATCTGTAGGTCCCTCCGTGGGTGGCAGGGTCCAGAGGAAAGTCGGCCTGGAATGTTCTGTTGACCTTGGGCCCTGCAGGGAGCCTACGTTCATGGGCCTCCCCTTCCCTGGATAGATGGTACATGTCATAGGAGCTCCGGGAGCTGCAGGACAAGGTCACGCTCTCTCCTGCCAGAACCGTGGGGCCCGGCTGGGCTGAGAGAGAAGGTTTCTCATATAGACCTGGAAGGAGAAGAGGCATTTTCCTCAGGGAGGATCTTCCTTGTCACAGCTCCCTTCACCTGAGCTGAGAACTCACTCCCCTGCTCTGTGACCTAATGCTCTCTCTCTCTCTCTCTCACCCTCCACCCCATCTCTCTTCACGTCTATTTCCTCCTTCCACCTTCTCTGTCTCTCTAGGTCTCTGACCTCACTTCCCCACCTCTAGATATGTTTTCTCTTTTTGGATTGTTTTATTCTCTCTGACTCTCCTTGGATTGGTTCACTTGATGTTACTTTTTTTAATTCTGAGTTTCTCACTTTGTGTCCTGTTCATAACTTTCTGCATATTTCTATCTATTATCTATCGATCTATCTATTTATCTATTCCGTGCCTATCTACAAATTCTCTACCTGTCATCTATATCTATATATCATCTATTTATCTATCAATTTTCTATCTATCCATCAATCATCTATTATCTATATCTGTGTATCATCTCTCTCTCTCTATGATTTCTCTATGTCTGCCTCTCTATCTCTATGTATTATCTATCTGTCTTCATCATCATCATCTCTATGTCTCATCTATTAATGAATCAATCAATCATCATCTATGTATCTATAACCTATTATCTATCATCTACCTATTTATCATCTATCTATATCTATCCATCTATCATCTGTCTTGCTCTGCCTCTCGGTCTCTCTAGTTCTCTTTGGAATCTCTGCAATTCATCCCCACATCTTCATCTTTCTATGTCCTTGTGCCTCTCCCTCATGACTCTAATTTTAGTGCTTTTCTCTGCTCCCTTCCATCATTCTCACCACTCCTCTGCCCTCTTTTCTCTCTCTTTATGTGTCTGTGAGTCTCTCAATCTCCTTCCTCTGGCTCATTCTCTGTGTGTTTATGTCTTTGCTTTTTGGTGTTCCTGATTTTTCTCTGTGCCTCTCAGTGATCCTTTCATATGTGGGGTTATTTGGAATGTGAGCCTCAGAATCCAGTCTGGAGACTACAAGTTCACACAGCATACAGGGGTTGGTGTTCTGGGGCCATGATATCCTGGGACGATTACTCTCCATTACCTGGAAGGCAGAGGTGTCAGAATAAACATGGCATCTGTAGGTGCCAGAAGGCCTGAGGCCATAGGGCCCAACTCAGGTCAGAAATATGGGTGTCCTTGGGTTCTCCTGGTAGAGAACACTTTGTGGAGGTAAAACAGAAATGAAACTTCTAACATGTGCCAGGTCTCTGAGCAAAGTCAGCATGGAGGGACACCTCTCTCTGGGACATGTCTGTCTGTCTGTCTCCTTTAACTCCTTCTGTCTTTTCTAACTCTCGGAAAGGCCCCTGTGTGTGTCCTCTGTTATGACACCTGGTCTGTACTTGTGTCTCCTGTTTCTCTGTCTCTGTTGGTACAGACCTCACCAAGTCAGTCTCTCTCCATAAGAATACCAAGCTCATCTTCCTTACAACCACCTGGGCCTCCAAGTCCTGGATCATTCACTCTGCATCCCAATGACAATGAGAAGAATGTCTGGACACTCTCACCTGTGATCACGATGTCCAGAGGGTCACTGGGCGCTGACAACTGATAGGGGGAGTGAGTAACAGAACCGTAGCATCTGTAGGTCCCTGCCAGGTCTTGTGTCATGCGACCGATGGAGAAGTTGCCCTTGGAGACCCCATCAATGTGCTCTCCAATGAGGCGCAAAGTGTGGTTAAACGTCCCCTCTCTGTGCAGAAGGAAGTGCTCAAACATGACATCTGACCAACATTGCAGGATGACTGTCTCTTCTGATTTCACCAGGGGACCTGGGTGGGCCAGGAGGGAAGGTTTTCTGCGGAATCCTAGGAAGAGAGTTTGTGAATTTAGAAGGTGTCTCTCTTTATCATCCCATCCATGGCACCTGGATTGAGTGAGGCTTCCCCTCCCTGGTGTCTGTCTCTCTCCTTCCTCTCTGTGTCTTCATGTTCTTTTCTGTGCCCATAACTCCTGGTGCAGGTCCTTCCATCTGTCTCCCTCCCTCTTCTCTGTCCCTCTGTCTCTAGTAACCTCTGATTCCCTTGCCGCTGGGCTCAGCCTCATCTCTTCGGCTGTTGTATCTATTTTGAACTAATGTCTTTCCTGCTGTATATGTGGGGGTGGAAGAGGAACCAGGATAGGCTGCACATCCAGGCTCTTAGCAGCCTGGTTCAATCTCTTTTGGTCGAATTGGAATCCTTGGCAGGAGGTATGAACTGATCAGTAAGGCAGGCACCAGTGTCCACACACCCTGTTCCTGGTGGGGACTGGGAGCCACTCTTGCCATGCCTGTGCCAGCTTCCATAGCCTGGCTCCTGGTGCTGGTTGGAGGAGTATCAACCGCTCCCTATGTGGATGGAGCCTGGTGGTGGCATCATCATCCCTCACTTGCTGATCTTGGTGTAGCCAACCTTCTCCTTGTTTGGTTTCTTTAATTAATTAATTTTGGAGACAGAGTCTCACTCCTTTGCCCAGGCTGGAGTGAAGTGGTGTGGTCTAGGCTCACTGCAACCTCTGTCTCCTGGGTTCAAGTGATTCTCCTGCCCTCAGCCTCCCAAGTCGCTAGGATTACATGCACCTGCCACCACGCCCGGCTATCCTTGTGTCCTTTCTTAACTTTTCCTCGAGCTGGGTTCCGGTGTTGGTTTCCTGTTGCTGCTGTAGAAAATTATCAGCAGCATGGCAGCAGGAGAGAGCACACTGACCCCTTCCATTTCTGGAGGCAGAAGTTGGGCCCTGTTTTTCCTGGGCTAAAATCAAGGCACCTGTAGGGTTTCGTTCCCTCTGGAGACTCAGGAGAATCAGTTCCTTGACTTTTCCAGCCTCTATAGGCCACCTGCATTCATGGCTCCTGGCCTTCCTCCACCTTCAAAGCTGATGGAGACTCCCATTACGCTGCTCTAATCCCCACTCCCCTCTTCCTCCTCCTTTCCTGTGGACACTTGTCATTACACTGAGCCCAGGGGGACAGTCCAGGCCTTCTCCCCATCTCAAGGTCAACTCATCAACAACCTGAGCTCCATCTTCCCCTTCAGTCCCTTCCCCTATAACATAAATAGTCACAGACTCCAGGGATTAGAATGTAGTCATCACTGGGGACAATTATTCTTCCCACCACAGCACCCATTTCCCTGTATTCAATCCCCCTTTACCCCAAATACAGTCAGGGCCTGCGTGAAGGGACCCTCAAGGACATGCCTACCAGAAGCTCTGGGATTCAGGAGGTGGGACAAGGAGAATCCCAGACAGGAGCCCTCTGACCTGTGACCACGATCACCAGGGGGTTGCTGGGTGCCGACCCCCCACTGGGGGAGTGTGTGTGTGAACCCCGGCATCTATAGGTCCCTGTGTGTGACGGGGTCACAGGGCCCATGAAAAGGCTTTTCCAGAATATTCTGTTGTAGAGCTCAGGGACAGGCACCCCATCATCCTTGTACAGACTGAAGTTGTTAAACCCAAGATTAGAGTGACACCGAAGAGTCACATGTTCTGGAGGCACCACAAGGCTGGGCCAGGTAGAAAGCAAGGGCTTGTCCTGACCACCTTGGGGAGAAGGAGGCGCCGCCTTAGAGAGGAGGATGTGGAGCCGCCCCTCCCTCCCTGTGCTCAGAAGATTCTCCCCACTTTCCACATTTCTATGGCTGCTATCACACCTTGGTGCCTAGGGCTAAAGGAAGGACTCATCCCACAAAGACAAGCTGTCTCCCTACAACAAAAGTGTCAGCTGAGAACTTTGAGCAAGTGCTGAGTAAGAGACTCCTACTAGATTTTAATACTGTAAGATTACTCACATAAAACAACACAGGGTAGACATGGGGTGGAGGGCATGTCCTTTGAGAATGGAATATCAGCAGATGCCTGAATGAAAATAAACAACTGAGCCCCCATCAGAGGATTTGGAATGTCAGGGCCATGGCTGTGGTTTCCCACCTCTTCTGGTAGAATGACAGCAGCCACACTGCAGCCCCTACCGTCATGGAAACGCTGAAGTGTGTGAGTAACACCTTTGTCCTCAGAGGATCTGCTGTTCCTACCACTTTCCCACCACACACCCCAGCTTTGAGCACCCTAGTGTAACCCTGGTCCCCACAGAACTTGACTCTGCCAAGGAAATGAAAGGCCAGGGAGGCAAGGTCGGAACTGTGGGCCAAGCACCCCAGGGTCCCCTCTTTCTAGTTTAAGAGAGACTCCCTGACAGGACTTCCCTCCCGTTTCAGGAAAATCCTCTTATGTGGGGAGATGACACCTTAAGGTTTGGAGAAGGACTTACCCTCATGTGGCCAGGCCCCCTGCAGCAAGAAGAACGCTGGAAAGAAAGATCATGATGGACCATCCATCTGCAGGCAAACCAGGCCTTCCTTGCTATCCCCACTAGGCTGTGAGTCTTGGTAGCCAGGCCCTTCCTGGGCCGAAGGGAAACTCACCCTCAGTGCCTACCTGCACCCAAGAACAGGGCTCTCGGCTGTGCAGAGACCCAGCCTCCATTCCCATATCCCTACCCCAAGCCCATATCTCCACTCCAGGCACATATCTCCACTCCAGGCTGATATTCCCACCCTAGGCCCATATAGCCAATCTGGGCCCACATCTCCAATCCAGGCTCAGATCTCCACCCTAGGTCCATAACTCCAGTCCAGGCCCATATCTCCACTCCAGGCCCATATCTCCTCCCCAGGCCCATATCTCCACTCCAGGCCCATATCTCCACCCCGGGCCCAGATCTCCACCTCCAGGCCCATAACTACACTCCAGGATCATATCTCCACTCCAAGCCCATATCTCCACAACAGGCCCATATCTCCACTCCAGTCCCATATCTCCACCCCACGCCCATATCTCCACTCCAGGCCCATATCTCCATTCCAGGCCCATATCTCCACCCCACGTCCATATCTCCACTCCAGGCACATATCTCCACCCCACGCCCATATCTCCACTCCAGTCCCATATCTCCACTCCAGGCCCATATCTCCACCCCACGCCCATATCTCCACTCCAGTCCCATATCTCCACCCCACGCCCATATCTCCACTCCAGTCCCATATCTCCACCCCATGCCCATATCTGCACTCCAGTCCCATATCTCCACCCCACACCCATATCTCCACTTCAGTCCCATATCTCCACTCAAGGCCCATATCTCCACCCCACGCCCATATCTCCACTCCAGGCCCATATCTCCACTCCAGGCCCATATCTCCACCTCCAGGCCCATATCTCCACTCCAGGCCCATATCTCCATCTCCAGGCTCATATCTCCACTCCAGGCCCATATCTCCACTCCAGGCCCTTATCTCCACCTCCAGGCCCATATCTCCACTCCAGACCCACATCTCCACTCCAGGGCCATATCTCCACTCCAGGTCCATATCTGCACCTCCAGGCCCATATCTCCACTCCAGGCCCATATCTCCACCTCCAGGCCCATAACTTCACTCCAGGCCCATAACTCCACTCCAGGCCCATATCTCTACTCCAGTCCCATATCTCCACTCCAGTCCCATATCTCCACCCTAGGCTCCTACCTCCCATCCAGGTTCCTATCTCTTCTCCAGGTTCCTCTCTCCACTCCAGGCCCATATCTCCACTGCAGGCCCATATCTCCACTCCAGACCCAGATCTCCACTTCTAGGCCCATCACTCCATCTCTAGGCCCATATATCCCCTCCAGGCCCAGATCTCCACTCCAGGCCCATAACTCCACCTCCAGGCCTATATCTCCACCTCTGGGCCCAGATCTCCATCCCCGCGCTCCCTCCCTCTATTCCCTTCCAGGACTCACCAACACACGCCATGCTGATGACCATGAGCGACATGGTGCTGCCGGTGCAGACAGGCGGCCGCACCCCTAGCTCAGCTCAGCAGCGCACAGGATGTTATTTGGCGCCCTGCCCATGCAGTTTACATGTTGACCACATCACGGGAGGGTGACGTACGCAGGCTCTTTCTACCTTGCATGAGGCCCAGTGGGTGCTTGCTCAAGAGCGGAACACGGCTTCCTGGAAATTGTTCTCACTAGAATTGGCACCTCGCGTCCTTCACTATGACCAACTCACAACACGTCTCAGATCCAACCTCCCGAACACAAGATGCCTAAAATCTGTGCTAACGTGAAAGACTTTTCATGTATTTTTATTGTTTTTATCTGAGATTCAAACTCTTCTTCCTGTGTAATATGCAAAGTATCTAATAGGTATTATTAATGTTTTCGGAGTCATTGTGACTAATAAACCATTAGAATTTTTCATGCTTGTATTTCTAGTATTACAGCAAAACCAGTTAAAATGATTTAAATTCCCAGGAAAGGATTATGCAATTATTTACAATCTTCGAATTGTACTTTATCAGCAAAAACCACACATGTAAATTCTGGATTTTTATAGTTTTATCTATAATTTGTCTCATGACCCAAGATTCCAGAGTCCCAACTCTGGAGTTTGCTCCCTCTCTGTCTCTGTCCCTCCCTCATTTTAAATTTTACGGAAATATCCAGTAACATAATGCTATAGAAAATCAAGTTTCCCCCAGCATGTTTGGAAGCCGAGGTGGGCGAATCAACTGAGATGAGGAGTTTGAGAGCAGCCTGGCCAACATAGTGAAACCGTGTCTCTGCTAAACATTCAAAAATTAGCCGTGCCTGGTGGCAGACACCTGTAATGCCATCTACTCAAGAGGCTGAGGCACGAGAATCGCTTGAACCTGGGAGGCGGAGTTTGCAGTGAGCTGAGATTGCACTACTACAGTCCAGCCTGGGTGACAGAGCAAGATTCCGCCTTAAGAAAAAAAAAATAGCAAGTAGCCTATAATAACAAATTAGAGGGCTCTGGCTACTAAATTTAAAGGGTTTTATAAGGCTACATGAAGTGCAGCATCCTCAAGAGTGTGGACACAGAGAGCCCCTTAGCAGAAACAGTGTCTAAAATACATCCGTGTACACACAGTCCCTTTAGAGTTGACAAAGGCTGCCCTGTGGTTTAAGGTGGCATAGAATGTCTTCTCAATAAATAATATTAAACCAAAGGGTTACACGTAGGAAAAAATAAATCTAAACTTATTCTCACACTATAAAAACACTTCTTGTTTTTATCTAGTTTATAATTTTTTTATGATTTATATTTAAAATTTAGAAATAACAGTTTTATACGGTCATCCTTCACTATTCCTGGGTGATTGGTTTCAGGATCTCCACTCAGATACCAAAATCTGCAGATGCTGAAGCCTCTTACATGAAATGGCACAGCGCTTGCATATAACCCATGCACATCCTCCTGTATACATGAAATCATCTCTAGATTACTTATAATTCCTGATATGGCCTACACACTGCTTCATTTGTGTCCCTTCAACATAGTTTTGCTTTTTGAAAGTTTGTGGATTTTCTTCTCTGAATATTTTTTATTTATAGTTGGTTCAATAAACACCTGTAAACCCCACAGATACGGAGGAGCGACTGTATATATATATATAGCATGAAAGATGATGTGTTGATATGTGTCCCCATGGAGATGAGACTAACAAGGCCTATGACTCTACAAATGTTTCATCGTGGAATGACTCTGCCAGCTTTCCAGGTCTGCAGAGAGTAAGAATATCACTTGTTCATGTGATTCATGATCCTTGGAACCTCCTATGTGCTGCATCTTTGGATGGAAATTGGAGTCCCAGAGACAAATGAGGCTCCACCCTGCTTCCAGAAGCTCAGAGTCCAGGGGAGAGAACCCAGTGGATAACAGATGGGGTTATGTGGACATGGTAATGATAACAGCGGTTTCTTTCAGCAAATAGTGTCACATTACCTAAAGCAATGAGGGCAGACATGTTTATTTGAAAAGGAGACAGCTACATTGAAATCACAAAAAATTTTATAAGTTTCACTGCTGACTGACAGAAGGCTGGAAAATAGTCTGAGGAAAGGTGAAACAGCATGAGGGAAGGTGGAACAGCACGTGTCTCAGTGCCATGTTAAGAGGGAGCCTCTTGTATGTCTGGAATTGTGAGTTCCTCAGTGTGATTGCAGCCTCAAGTAGACTAGGAAGTAAGCCAGTTCAGTTGGAGAGGTGGGCAGGGGTCAAGTGAAATAGAGAATTGTGGGCTAAGCAAAGGAGTGTGTCTTCTCTCCAGCAGGCAGTGGGGACCTTAGACATTTGTAAGCAAGAGAGAGGCATGTTCAGATTTGTGGTGTGAGGAAGAGCGATCCCCTAAGATGAAGACTGATGCCTTCAGATTCCAGCTGCTGGTACATGGGAGCTAGCAACCCGGTTTTGAGACAGGGCTGTTGTCTCCCTAGAAGATCCCCTCAAGGCCTGACTGTGGTGCTTATGGGCAGGAGACAATGATCTTGGCTTAGCATTTGGAAGTTCCATGTACATGGTGGTATCTGTTGGAGGTGTCTTGGGCCTCTGAGAAGGGGAAGTGATTTTTGTCTGTGTGAAAACGCAGTGATCCAACTGTGCATATGTCACCTCCTGAGGGTCTTGATCATCAGAGTCCTGGAGAGAGGGAAATGCTGAGTGAGGGAGGGTGCTCACATTCTTCAAGACTATTAGGGAATGAGACTCAATCCATGAGGCTGGGCTGAGGAGAACCTACCTCCCTGTTCACTGTTCTGTCCCCGGCAGGCTCTTGGTCCATTACAGCAGCATCTGTAGGAGATAGAAGTCATCAAAACAGCTGGAAGGGCACTTTTGGGTCCTCATTTCATGAGCAGACACCAACACACAGCGGGAGGCCGTAGGTGCCTGAGGTCCCTCAGCTGTCATCAGCCAGACCCAGACATTCTATCTCTCTGAGCTCAAGGACCCATCCCATGAATAGCTCTGAGTTCCCATCCCAGTGATTCTGTCTCCCCTTTCTGCCTGTCATGGAACCTTCTCCTGGATGTCAGTGGCTGCAGGGGACGTGAGGATACAGTTCAGAATCAGGCAATGGTCTGTGAGCTGAAGGCAGGGGCAGGGTGTCTGGTGCTCTCTCTAGAAAGCCCTGCCTCTGTGGCTCCTGCCTTGGTCCAGGGACCATCCTGCCAGTCAGGAACACACACCAGTGTGCTCCCATCCTGCTTCCCCACATGGTCCTGAGCTCTCTGACCTCTGCTTCGTGAGACTTACTCTTTTTGTTGGAGCAGCAGCAATGAAGGAGAAAGAAGAAGAGGATGATGAAGAGGATGATAGCCACTGAGGTCCCAATCAGAATGTGCAGGTGTCTGCGGATACCTGGGGGAAGGTGGGAATCCAATAAGAAGCTAATTATAGCAGTTCCTCTTTATGGATTGTCTCTCATTTCTTGGTTGCCAGCTAAGCACATACAACATCTGTTTAGGACAAGTTCCCCGATGGCAGGATACCCAGCTTTCTCCTGCTTTCTCAGTTATAGTTCTCAAAATAATCAGAGAACATGCTGGGGATACCACTGCTATAGTTTGGATGTTTGACCCCGCCAAACCTCACGTTGACACTTATCTCGCAGTGTGGGAGGCTGGGCCTATTGAGAGACGTTCCAGTTATGGGGGTGGATCCATCATGAATACATTAATGCTGTCCCCATGAGACGTGGTTGGCAAGTTCTCCATGAGGTCCCTAGGACTGGTTGCTAAAAAGAGCATGGGGTTTCTCCATGTTGGCCAGGCTGGTCTCAAACTCCTGACCTCAAGTGATCCAAACGCCTTGGCCTCCCAAAGTGTTGGGTTACAGGCGTAAGCTCCCATTCACAGACTTGTATATTATGCTATAATAAGTCCCTTCATTTGCACCACCCCTCATCTATCTATCAATCACTCCTCTGCCAGATATTGATTTACATGTAGGAAAAATAAATCTCAGAAAGAAATTAATATATTCAAAATTAAATAAGTAGGCATTATCAAATCCAGCAAGCCCTCCCTACAAATGATTCTACCTCACAGACATATCTTATACCCATCTACTTCATTCATTTAGTGTCTAAATCAGCACCACATTTCACCAGTGGGGCGGGAATTGCCTTTTCCACGGTCTCCTAGATTCCAGTTACGCACTTGGGCGTCCTTATTTTCATGTCAGTCATATTAATCATGTAGGGATTCCTGGCTACCCCGAGGTGAATCCAATGGCTGTGAGTGTCAAACACACGCTCCTTGTTCCTCCTTAGTTTCCTGTGTACCCAGAGTGCTCTCCGTCTCTCCACAGTCGTCTTGTCATTCTCCCCACTTCATTCCCAGCATTTGAATGCAGAGCCTCTTCCTTCCACATCAGATTGTTTTCACATTTGTGCCTTCACGGCTGACAGCTGTGTGTGGAAAATCCTTCCGCCAATCTTCCAGGGGTTGAATCTACTTTTTTTTTTCATTATGGTCACAAATATTATCTGATTAGTGAGACTTTCTCTGTCTCCTGAAATTATACACTTAGAATTCTTTATTATTTATTTTAAATTTCGGCTGGGCGCAGTGGCTCACACCTTGAGTCCCAGCATTTTGGGATGCTGAGACGGTCGGATCACTTGAGGTTGGGAGTTGGAGACAATCTGCGCAACATGGTGAAACTCCATCTCTACTAAAAAATATAAAAGAATATTAGCTGGGTGTGGTGGAGGGGACTGGAATCACAACTAGTCAGGAGGCTGAGGCAGGAGAATCGCCTGAACCCGGGAGGCGGAGGTTGTGGTGAGCTGAGGTCATGCCACTGCACTCCAGCCCGGGGACAGAGAATGACTTCGCCGCAAATAAATAAATACATAAATAGATAAATAGATAAATAAATAGGTAAATAGATTTCATGCACGGATGCTTCCCAATGGATCAATCATTACTGGTCCACTTGTGCATTCATATTCTGCCCTCCCATTTGCCCATCTGCAATGTCAGTGTCCTAAGAGCAGAGGCCAAATGCATCGTGTTTACCATTTGTGGAAGGCAGGAGAATGCTGGCCCACCCCCAAAATGTCCCTGTCCTAGCCTCCATAGCTTGTGAATATGTTATTTTACATGAAAGGAGGAATAAAGATTGCAGATGGAATTATGGTTGCTAATCAGCTGAACTTAAAAAGAGGTTATCTTGGGTGATTTTAGGGAGATTGTGATGGATTATCTTGGTAAACTCAATAGAATCCCAAAGTCTTTAAAAGAGGAAGAAAAAGTCAGAGCAACACTTAGAGAAAGAGGTGAGGTAAGGAAGAGGGATCTGAGTGATGCCACGTGAGAGATGTGATGAGCTTTTGTGGGCTTCGAGGAAGGAGGATGGGGACCAGATGCCAAGGAGCGTGGGAACCTCTGGGAGCTGGGAAATGTGAAAAGCCGATTCTCGCCTGGAACCTTCAGAGAAAAGGCAGCCTCGCAGTCACCTTGATTTTAGCCCAGTGAAATGCATTTCATATTTCTGAGCTATAACACTGTAAGATAATTTTAAAAGCTGTGTTGTTGTCATCCATGAAGATTGTGGAGATTTATTATGGCAACAGCAGGAAAGGGTTCCACACTGTACAGTCAGAGCACAGGGCAGTGGCTGAATAAGTGAGTAAGTGGAAGTGTCATATTTGTGGATGAACTACGTTCCTTCTTACTGCAAGGCTCTTGCTCTGCTGACTCAGCCAAGGTCGCATCATGACCAACAGGGGCTCATTCCTTGGCAAGTGGAACTTCTCTAAATCACCTTTCCCTCATCAGATGTTCCCTTCCCCTCCCTCTCTCAAGTCCCCTCAAATTTATCCTCCAATTTGGAATGCAGGCAGAAAAAACACCACTTTATCCCTGAGAAGGATGTCAGATTTGTACTCGTCCGTCTAGCTTGGAGGAGGTCTCAGCTGCAGAAATTTGAAATGAAGAGACTTCACTGAGCCCTTTGCTGTCCTCAGATACCCTTCGCTGTTGTAGTGTCTGGGGGTCAGAGATGTTAGAAGACAGGCCCACAATCACAGAGCTGGGAGGTGCTGAGCCAATGCTTGAATCCAAGATACCAACCTCCCCAGGTTTCCAAAAGCAGAGATAAGAGGGATCTTTACTCACCAGTTTTGGAGCTTGGTTCAGTGGGTGAAGATGAACTACTTGAAGAGTTTCCTAGAACACAGGACAGGAGAGAGGTGAGGAAATGAGGATGCCTGTCTTCTACTCAAAGGAAATCTTTGAGGTTGGTTCATGGCCAACACTCTGTTATCTAATGTTGGGCCCTAGGAGTCCTGGCGTCCCCTTCTCCATCATCATTGTTAAATGATGCCCAGTGTCCTGAGATTTCGAGGTATAAAGACAAAACAGGTGCTGGAGGCCTCACACTCCCTGACTTAAAAATATGTTACAAAGCTGTAGTAAGCACAACAGCATGACATTGGCATAAAGGCCCTTAGAGCAATGGAGCAGAATGAAGAACACAGATATAATTCATGCATTCACATCCAATGGACTTTGACGATTGTACGTGCCAAGAACCTGCAATCAGGAAACGACGGTCTTTTCAATAAATGGAGCAGGGAAAACTGGTATCTACATGCAGTTGATGAAACTGCACCTCTACCTCTCACCATACACAGAAATCAAATGAAAATGGAAGAAACACTTAAGGCCTGAAACCATTAAGCGTCTAAAAGGAAAGAGTGGGGAAATGCTCCAGGACATTTGTCTGAGGAAAGACATTTTATTTGAAATCTCAAAAACACAAGAAATCAAAACAAAATAATAGACCTTCGGGATTACATCAAAGTAAGCAGCTTCTGCACCGCAAAGGAAGCAACCAACAAAGTGAAGAAGAGACAAATTGGGAGAAAATATTTGTGAAGTATGCATCTGAGAGGGGATTAATAACTAGAATATACATAAAACTCAAGCAACGGTATAAAACAATGAATTTAATTTAACAATTAGTAAAAGACCTGAACAGACATTTCTCAACAAACAAAACGTACAAATGGCGAACATGTACATGAAAAAGTGCTCAGTATCACTAATCATGCCAATTGAAATCACAGTGAGCTATCATCTCATCCCATTAAAGTGGCTTTTATCTGAAACACAGACAAAATAAATGCTGGCAAGGTGGTAGAGAAAGGAGAACCCTGGTACCCTGTTGATAGGATCTAGCAATTCCACTACTGGGTGTAAACCCAAAGGGAAGGACATCAGTGTATCGAAGTGATATCTGCACTCATACGATTGGTGCAGCACTGTTCACAGTAGCCAAGATGTGGAGTCAACTTACCTGCCCGTCAGTGGGTGAATGGATAGAGAGAATGTAGTACACACACACAGTGGAGAGTACTCATCCGTAGAAAGAATAACATCCTGACATTTGCAGCCACATGGATGGAACTGGAGGTCATTGCAAAGATTCCCATTTCTCACCCATATACAGGAGCTAAAAGGTGGATCTCATGAAGGTAGAGAGTAGAATGGTGGCTACCAGAGGGCAGGAAGTAAAGGGTGGAGTGTAACAACAACAATAAAAAAGAATATAGATGTATTTATTTATTTAGAGACAGAATCTCTCTCTGTCTCCCAGGCTGCAGTGCAGTGGCCTGATCTCAGCTCAGTGCAACCTCTGCCTCCTGGGCTTACGTACTTCTCCTGCCTCAGCCTCCCATGTAGCTAGGAATACAGGTGCATGCCAGCATGCCCAGCCAATTTTTCTTGTCTGTTTAGTAAAGATGAATTTCCCTCATGTTGGCCAGGCTGATCTCGAGCCTCTGATCTTAAATGATCCACCTTCCTTGGCCTCTCAAAGCACCGAGATTATAACTGTGAGCCACTGCACCCTGCATATAAAGGAATTTATGACCACTAGATTTTACTTTTAAAAATGGTAAAGGTGGCAAATTATATAGTTACATTTAACCTAAATAAATGTTTTTTCAAACGGAAAGAAAAGGGTGTAGGGGTTGCTGGTGATGACATCTCTGTGTGGGTGAGAGGCCAGTATGGGCTTCTGGGAAATGGGTAAGGTTTAGGGTCTGAGGGAGCCTCTGATCTCCCCAAACTGAGCCGAGTCTCCCTCCTCTGGGTCTGTCCTGACCACTTTCTCCATCTGCCTGGGTGCCTGGAGCCCTGGCCGCGGGCCTCCATGCAGGCCGTGCAGGAGGGTTTGGAGGTGCCCTGTCTGCCATCCTGTGCCCTGATCCCTCCCTCACACCATGCTGCGTGTTCTCTCTGCATCTGTCCATGCTTCTCTCCATCATCAGCAGGAAGCTCCTCAGCTAAGGCTCTAGGATCACAGGACATGGGACAGGCATGGGCTTTCCTCACCTGTGACAGAAACAAGCAGTGGGTCACTCGGGTCTGACCACTCATAGGGTGAGTCATGGAGAGAGCCGAAGCATGTGTAGGTCCCTCCGTGGGTGGCAGGGCCCAGAGGAAAGTCAGCCTGGAATGTTCCATTGACGCTGGGCACTGCAGGGAGCCTAGGTTCATGGGCCCTCCCCTCCCTGGATAGATGGTACATGTCAAATGAGCTCCTGGAGCTGCAGGACAAGGTCACGTTCTCTCCTGTGCGAACCGTGGGGCCCGGCTGGGCTGAGAGTGAAGGTTTCCCAAATAGACCTGGAAGAAGAGGCAGTTTCCTCAGGGAGGTTCTTCCTTGTCACAGCTCCCCTCACACCTGAGCTGAGAACTCACTCCCCTGCTCTATGACCTAATGCTCTCTCTCTCTCTCACCCTCCACCCCCGACTCTCCCTGTGGATCCCTCCCTATGCGGCTCCAGCCTGGTGGTGGCATCAGCAGTGCACCCTTGCTGACCTTAGGGTAGCCAACCCTCTTGTTTGGTTTTTTAACTTGTCCTTGACCTGGATTCCTGTGTTGTTTCCTGTTGTTGCTGCAGAAAATTATCACAAACACGGCGGCGGGAGAGAACACTTCTGTTGACAGAAATCAGACCCTGTTCTTCCTGGGCTACAATCAAGGCATCTGCAGGGCTGCATTCCCTCTGGAGACTCGGGAGAATCAGTTCCATTGACTTCTCCAGCCCCTAAAGGCCACCTGCATTCCGTGGCTTCTGGCCTTCCTCCACTTTCAAAGCCCGCAGTGGCTGGTGGACTCTCCCTCCCACTACGCTGCTCTAATCCCCACTCTCCTCTTCCTCCTCCTCTCATGTGGACCCTTGTGATTACACTGAGCCCAGTGGGAGAGTCCAGGTCGTCTCCCCATCTCAAGGTCAACTCATCAACAACCTGAACTCCATCTTCCCCTTCAGTCCCATGTCCTATAACATAAATAGTCACAGGCTCCAAGGATTACAATATAGCCATGCTGCCGACAGTTACTCTTTCCACCACAGCACCCATTCCCCTGTATTCAATCCCCATTGACACCAAATACAGTCAGGGCCTGGATGATTGGACCCTGGTGGACACCCCCACCAGATGCTCTGGGATTCAGGAAGTGGGAGAAGGAGAAGCCCAGACATGAGTCCTCTGACCTGTGACCACGATCACCAGGGGGTTGCTGGGTGCTGACCACTCAATGGGGGAGCGTGGGTGTGAACCCCGACATCTGTAGGTCCCTGCGTGTGCAGGGGTCACAGGGCCCATGAGGATGCTCTTCCAGAATATTTTGTTGTAGAGCTCAGGGACAGGCACCCCATCTTCTTTGTACAGACTGAAGATGGTAAACCCAAGACGAGAGCGACACAGAAGAGTCACATGTCCTCCTCGAGGCACCACAGCGCTGGGCCAGGCAGACAGCAAGGGCTTGTCCTGACCACCTGGGGGAGAAGGAGGCGCCACCTTAGAAAGGAGGATGTGGAGCCGCCCCTCCCTGCCAGTGCTCAGAAGATTCTCCCCACTTTCCTCGTTTCTAAGGCTCCTACCACACTTGGGTGCCCATGGGTACGGGAAGGACCCACCCCGCATAGACTTGGCGTCTCTCTACAACAAAAGTGTCAGCTGAGAACTTTGAGCAAGTGCTGAGTAAGGGACTCCTACTAGATTTTAATACTGCAAGATTACTCACATAAAACAACACAAATAGACATGGGGTCGAGGGCATGTTCTTTGTGAATGGAATATCAGCCAATGTGTGAACCACAATACACAACTGAGCCCCCAACAGAGGATTTGGAAGGTCAGGGCCCTGGCTGGGGTTCCCCCACCTCTGAGGTAGAATGACAGCAGCCACACTGCAGCCCCTACCGTCATGGAAACGCTGGAGGGTGTGAGTTACACCTTTGTCCTCAGAGGCCTGCTGTTCCTAGCACTGCTTTGCTCCCTTCCTCTGCCAGTGACACCACATCCCAGCCGCACAGCCCAGCTTGGAGGACCCCAGTCTACCCTCCCGGGTTCCCACAGAACCTGACTCAGCCAAGGGAAAGGAAGGCTGGGGAGGGCAAGGTCGGAACTGTGGGCTGAGCACCCCAGGGTCTCCTCATCCTTGTTTATAAGAAAATCCCCCACCGGGCTTCCCTCCTGTTTCAGGAAAATCCTCTTATGTGGGGAGATGACACCCGAAGGTTTGGAGAAGGACTCACCCTCATGTGTCCAGGCCCCCTGCAGCAAGAAGAACCCTGGAAAGAAAGATCATGATGGACCATCCATCTGCAGGCAAACCAGGACTCCCTTGCTGCCCCCACTGGGCTGTGAGTCTTGGTAGCCAGGCCCTTGCTGGGCTGAAGGGAAACTCACCCTCAGTGCCTGCTTGCACCCAAGAACAGGGCTGTCGGCTGTGTAGAGACCCAGCCTCCAGGCCCATATCCGCACCCCAGGCCCCTATCCCCACCCCAAGCCCATATCTCCACTCCAGGCCCATATCTCCACTCCAGGCCAATATTTCCACCCTAGACCCATATCTCCAATCCAGGCCCATATCTCCACCCCAAGCCCATATCTCCATCCTAGGCCCATATGTCCACTCCAGGCCCAGATATCCACCTCTAGGCCCATATCTCCACCTCCAGGCCCATATCTCCACCTCCAGGCCCATGTCTCCACTCCAGGCCCATATCTCCATCCCAGGCCAATATCTTCACTCCAGGCTCCTATCTCCCCTCCGGGTTCCTATCTCCACTCCAGGCCCAGATCTCCACTCCAGGCCCATATCTCCACCTCCAGGCCCATATCTCCACTCCAGACCCAGATCTCCACTTCTAGGCCCATCACTCCATCTCCAGGCCCATATATCCACTCCAGGCCCAGATCTCCACTCCAGGCCCATAACTCCACCTCCAGGCCTATATCTCCACCTCTGGGCCCAGATCTCCATCCCCGCACTCCCTCCCTCTATTCCTTTCCAGGACTCACCAACACACGCCATGCTGATGACCATGAGCGACATGGTGCTGCCGGTGCAGACAGGCGGCCGCGCCCCAGCTCAGCTCAGCAGCGCACAGGATGTTATTTGGCGCCCTGCCCATGCAGTTTACATGTTGACCACATCACGGGAGGGTGACGTACGCAGGCTCTTTCTACCTTGCATGAGGCCCAGTGGGTGCTTGCTCAAGAGCGGAACACGGCTTCCTGGAAATTGTTCTCACTAGAATTGGCACCTCGCGTCCTTCACTATGACCAACTCACAACACGTCTCAGATCCAACCTCCCGAACACAAGATGCCTAAAATCTGTGCTAACGTGAAAGACTTTTCATGTATTTTTATTGTTTTTATCTGAGATTCAAACTCTTCTTCCTGTGTAATATGCAAAGTATCTAATAGGTATTATTAATGTTTTCGGAGTCATTGTGACTAATAAACCATTAGAATTTTTCATGCTTGTATTTCTAGTATTACAGCAGAACCAGCTAAAATGATTTAAATTCCCAGGGAAGGATTATGCAATTATTTACAATCTTAGAATTGTACTTTATCAGCAAAAACCACACCTGTAAATTCTGGAGTTTTGTAGTTTAATCTAAAATTTGTCTCATGACCCAAGATTCCAGAGTCCCAACTCTGGAGTTTGATCTCTCTCTGTCTCTCTCCCTCCCTCGTTTTAAATTTTACAGAAATATCCAGTAACATAATGCTATAGAAAATCAAGTTTTCCCCAGCACGTTGGGAAGCCGAGGTGGGCGGATCAACTGAGATAAGGAGTTTGAGAGCAGCCTGGTCAACATAGTGAAACCGTGTCTCTGCTAAAAATCCAAAAATTAGCCGTGCCTGGTGGCAGGCACCTGTAACGCCAGCTGCTCAAGAGGCTGAGGCACGAGAATCGCTTGAACCTGGGAGGTGGAGGTTGCAGTGAGCTGAGATTGTGTCACTGCAGTCCAGCCTGGGCGACAGAGCAAGACTCCGCCTCAAGAAAAAAAAAGCAAATAGCCTATAATAACAAATTAGAGGGCTCTGGCTACTAAATTTAAAGGGTTCTATAAGGCTACATAAAGTGCAGCGTCATCAAGAGTGTGGACACAGAGAGCCCCTTAGCAGAAACAGTGTCTAAAATACATCCATGTACACACAATCCCTTTAGAGTTGACAAAGGCTGCTGTGTGGTTTAAGGTGGCATAGAATGTCTTCTCAATAAATAATATTAAACCAATGGGTTACACCTAGTAAAAAATAAATCTAACTGACACTATAAAAACACTTCTTAGTTTTTATCTAGTTGTACATTTTTTATGATTTATATTTAAATTTGAGAAATAAAAGTCATATACGGTCATCCTTCACTATTCGTGGGTGATTGGTTTTGAGATCTCCACTCAGATACCAAAATCTGTAGATGCTCAAGCCTCTTATATGAAATGGCACAGCATTTGCAAATAACCTATGCACATCCTCCTGTATACATGAAATCATCTCTAGATTACCTATAATTCCTGATACAGCCTACACACAGCTTCATTTGTGTCCATTTAACATAGTTATGCTTTTTGAAACTCTGTGGATACTTTCTCTCAATATTTTTGATTTATACTTGGTTCAATAAACACCTGTAAACCCCGCAGATATGGAGGAGTGACCGTATATTTATATTATGAAAGAAGATGTGTTGATATGTGTCCCCATGGAGATGAGACTAACAAGGCCTATGACTCTACAAATGTTTCATTGTGGAATGACTCTGCCAGCTTTCCAGGTCTGCAGAGAGTAAGAGTATCACTTGTTCATGTGATTCGCGATCCTTGGAACCTCCTATGTGCTACATCTTTGGATGGAAATTGGAGTCCCAGAGACAAATGAGGCTCCACCCTGCTTCCAGAAGATCAGAGTCCAGGGATGAGAACTCAGTGGGGAACAGATGGGATTATATGGACATGGTACTGATAACACCGGAAGCCTTAGGCAAGAAAAGAGTCCCATTACCGAAACCATGGGGGCAGACATGTTTATTTGAAGGATGGAAAACTACATTGAAGTTATTTTAAAAAGTATATAAGTTTTACTGCTGACAGAAGGCTGAAAGCTAGTCTGAGGGGAGGTGGAACAGCATGAGGGAAGGTGGAACAGCACGTGTCTAAGTGCTGCGTTAAGACGGAGCCTCTTGTATGTGTGGAATTGTGAGTTCCTCAGTGTGATTGCAGCCTCAAGTAGACTAGGAAGTAAGCCAGTTAGGTTGGAGAGGTGGGCAGGGGTCAAGTGAAATGGAGAACTGTGGGCTAAGCAAAGGAGTGTGTTTTTTCTCCAGCAGGCAGTGGGGACCTTAGACATTTGTAAGCAAGTGAGAGGCACATTCAGATTTGTGGTGTGAGGAAGAGCGATGCCCTAAGATGAAGACTGATGCCTTCAGATTCCAGCTGCTGGTACATGGGAGCTGGCAACCCAGTTTTGAGACAGGGCTGTTGTCTCCCTAGAAGATCCCCTCAAGGCCTGACTGTGGTGCTCGTGGACAGAAGACAACTTTGGATCTGGGCTCAGCATTTGGAAGTTCTATGTACATGCTGGTATCTGTTGGGGGTGTCTTGGGCCTCTGAGAAGGGCGAGTGATTTTTCTCTGTGTGAAAACACAGTGTTCCAATTATGCGTATGACACCTCCTGATGGTCTTGTTCATCAGAATCCTGGAGAGAGGGAAATGCTGAGTGAGGGAGGGTGCTCACATTTTTCAGGACTCTTTGGGAATAACACTAGCCACGAGGCTGGGCCGAGGAGCACCTACCTCGCTGTTCACTTCTGTTCCCTGCAGGCTCTTGGTCCATTACAGCAGCATCTGTAGAAGACGGAAGTCAACAAAAGAGCTCGGAGGGCACTTCTGGGTCCTCATTTCATAAGCAGATACCAACAAACAGGGGGAGGCCATAGGTGCCTGAGGTCCCTCAGTTGCCAACAGCAGACTCAGACATTCTATCTCTCTGAGTTCAAGGACCCATCCCATGAATAGCTCTGAGGTCCCATTCCATTGATTCTATCTCCCACTTTCTGCCTGTCATGGAACCTTCTCCTGGATGTGAGTGGCTGCAGGGGACGTGAGGATACAGTTCAGAATCAGGCAATGGTCTGTGAGCTGAAGGCAGGGGAAGGGAATCTGGTGCTCTCTCTAGAAAGTCCTGCCTCTGTGGCTCCTGTCTTGGGCCAGGGACCATCCTGCTGGTGAGGAACACACACCCGTGTGCTCCCATCCTGCTTCCCCACATGGCCCTGAGCTCTCTGGCCTCTGCTTCGTGAGACTTACTTTTTTTTGTTGGAGCACCAGCGATGAAGGAGAAAGAAGAGGAGGATGGTGAAAGGGATTTTGACCACTGAGGTCCCAATCAGAATGTGCAGGTGTCTGAGGTTACCTGGAAGAAGAGGAGACACCAATAAGAAGCTAATCATAGCAGTTCCTCTTTATGAATTGTCTTGCATTTCTTGATTCACAGGTAACCACATACAGCGTCTCTTTAGGACAAGCACCCAGATGGCGGGAGACCCAGCTTCCTCCTGCTTTCTCAGTTATAGCTCTCATAGTAACCATAGAACGTGCTGAGGATACCACTACTTTAGTTGAGATGTTTGACCCCTTCAAACCTCAGATTGAAATTTACCCCCCAGTGTGGGAGGGTGGGCCTCTTGGGAGGTGTTTGAGTCATGGGGGTGGATACATCATGAACAGATCAATGCTGTTTTAAGGAGACGGGGTTAGCAAGTTCTCCCTCTATTAGTTCCTGGAGAGCTGGTTGTTCATAAGAGCTTGGAAGCTCCATCACTCCCCCTCTCCCTTGCTCCCTCTCTTGCCGTGTGATCTCTGTGGTCTCTGCACAGACAGACCCTCCTTCCCTTCTGCCAGAGTGGGAGCAGCCTGAGGCAGTCACAAGAAATAGATGCTGGTGCCATGCTTCCAGTACAGCCTGCGGAACTGTAAGGCAAACCAAAATCTTTTGTTTAGAAGTTACCCAGGCTCAAGTGTTCCTTTAGAGCAACAAAAATGGACTAAGACAGCAACGTCCTGAGATCAGGAGGAAAGTCCCAGAACAGCCTGGGCTGTCTTCCTGTTCTTCCTGGAGGAGGACGTGATGCAGTGCTTTAGCTGAGTGCTTCCTGTGGCTCCAGGGTACAAAACCCAGGTTGGGCTGCTTTCTGGCTTCCCCCAGCTACACTGCAAATGGGGTGACTCCACATGTCTCGAGCAGCTTTTCTGAGCCTTGGGGAACTGGCTCACATTGAAATGTAGGCTTCTGTTGTCACTCGCTGCTTATCTGTTAGTAATGAACCTGCCTGTGTAATGTGTTCTCTGTGTGTTCTGTCTCCCTGGAGTGACGGTGAGTGATAGGAATTGGCATAGGCCCAGGTGCAGTCCAGGAGGTGTTTAGAGTCTTCTCTGGGAAGACTGGACTGGGATTGATACACAGCGAATGTGCTTTAGGATTTCTACATCCACGGCATTCTTGAGTTAAACAACTTGCATTCTCCAAGAAAAGGAAACAAAAGTGAAATCAAGATCAAAAATGCGAAGTAGAATTCTCTTATGTCAAACAGCCAGAAAATAGTGTTGAAGCCCGTGTGAAATGTGCTATTCTTTGTGATCTCGGGAGACACATGTTAGGCTGCTGTTCTACCTGACAGGCTGGGGGAAGGACCACCCCCTCGACTATCTATTGCTTCAATACCACCTGTCCTCCTGTGAATTAGTAGGAAAGGGGAGCAGGAGCTAGTGCTGGCACTGATCTCTGATTCCAAGATCTGGACTCACTCCAAGGAGTATTAGCATTTACCTCCCCATGGTCTATCTGTATCTGCACAGGTGATTGGAAGTAGGGGTGAGGTGGGGGATTTGGGTGAGGGGGCAAGTTTTTTTTGTGATGACCAGAGCACTTTCTCTATTCCAGGATTTGTGCTGGAGGATTCAGCGGGCTTTCACATTTTCTATATGATCTCATGCTCACAGAAAGCCAAATACGGAAGAGGTTTTAGGCTGATTGTCTAATGGATAAGATAAAGAATCAAAGAAGTAATTATAGAGAAATAGAAAAATGATGATGGGAATTCAGGTGCCTTTGTCGTTCGTGTGTGTTTTATTATATTTATGCATTTCTTATTTTTATTTTTTGAGACGGAGTCTCCTTGTGTCACCCAGGCTGGAGTGCAGTGATGCGATCTCCACTCACTGCAACCTCCACCTCCTGGGTTGAAGTCATTCTCCTGCTTCATCCTCCAGAGCAGGAGCTGGGATCACAGGGATGCACCACCATGCTCGGCTAATTTTTGTATTTTTAGGAGAGATAGGGTTTCACCATGTAGAGATAGGGTTTCACCATGTTGGCCAGGCTGGTCTCGAACTCCTGATTTCTTGGAATCCACTGGCCTTAGCCTCCTGCAGTGCTGGGTTACAGGAGTGAGCCACCGTTCACAGACTTGTATACTATGCTATAATAGGTCCCTTCATTTCCACCACCCCTCATATATCTGTCACTCCTTTGCCAGGTATTGATTTATGTGTAGGAGGAATAAATCTCAGAAAGAAATTAATTTAGCAAGGATTAAACAACTAGGAAACTCAAACCCAGCAAGCCCTCCCTGCAAATGATTCTACCTCCCAAGCATAGCTTATATCCATCTGCTTCATCCACTTAGGGTCTAAATCAGCACCACATTTCACCAGTGGGGTGGCAATTGCCTTTTCCACAGTCTCCTAGATTCCAGTTACGCACCTGGGCCTCCTTTATTTTCATGTCAGTCATATTAATCATGTAGGGATTCCTGGTTACCCCGAGGTGAATCCAATGGCTGTGAGTGTCAAACACACACTCCTTGTTGCTCCTTAGTTTCCTGTGTACCCAGTGTGCTCTCCGTCTCTCTACAGTCGTCTTGTCATTCTCCCCACTTCATTCCCAGCATTTGAGGCAGAGCCTCTTCCTTCAACATCAGATTGTTTTCACCTTTGTGCCTTCACAGCTGACAGCTGTGTGGAAAATCCTTCCGCCAATCTTTCAGGGGTTCAATCCGTGTTTTTCATTAATGTCACAAATATCTGATTAGTGAGACCTTCTCTGTCACCCAAAATTATACACTCAGCATTATCTATTATTGATTTTGAATTCTGGCTGGGCAAAGTGGCTCACGCCTGTAATCCCAGTACTTTGGGTTGCTGAGATGGTCGGATCACTTGAGGTTGGGAGTTTCAGACAAGCTTGGCCAACATGGTGAAACATCCTCTCTACAAAAAATATACAAAAAGAGTTAGCCGGGCATGGTGGCAGTTGCCTGTAATCCCAGCTACTCGAGAGGGTGAGGCAGGAGAATCACTTGGATCCAGGAGACGCAGGTTGCAGTGAGCCAAGATCGTGACACTGCACTGTAGCCTGGAAGACAGAGGGAGACTCTGTCTCAATAAATAAATGAACGAACAAACAAATAGATTTCATGCACAGATGCTTCCCAATGGATCATTCATTTATTGGTCCACTTGTGCATTCATTTTCTGCCCTCCCATTTAACCATCTGCAATATCAGTGTCCCAAGAGCAGAGGCCAAATGCATCTTGTTCACCGTTCGTGGAAGGCAGGAGAATGCTGTCCCACCCCAAAATGTCCCTGTCCTGGCCTCCATAGCTTGTGAATATGTTATTTTACATGGAAAGGAGGAATGAAGATTGCAGATGGAATTACGGTTGCTAGTCAGCTGAACTTAAAACAAGGGTATCCTGAATGATTTCCGGGAGATTATGATGGATTTTCATCTTGGTGAACCCAATAGAATCCCCAAGTTTTCAAAAGATAAGGAAGAAGGGAGAGCAGCATTCAGAGAAAGAGGTGTGGTAAGGAAGAAGGGTCTGAGTGATGCCATGTGAGATGTGACCAGTCTTTGTGGGCTTTGAGGAAGGAGGAAGGGGACCAGGAGCCAAGGAACTGGGAGCCTTTAGAAGCTGGGACAAGTGAGAAGCAGATTCTTGCCTGGAACCCTCAGAGGGAAGGCAGCCTTGCTGTCACCTTGTTTTTAGCCCAGTGAGATGCACTTCATACTTTGAGCTACAGCACTGTAAGATAATTAAAAAGCCGCTTTATTTTCACCCACGAATCTTGTGGAAATTTGTTATGGCAACAATAGGAAAGGATTCCAACTGCACAGCCTGAGCATGGGGCCGTGGCTGAATGAGTCAGTGAGTCGAAGTGTGCGTGCATGAGCTCTGTTCTCTGTTACGGCAAGGCTCTTGCTCTGCTGAGTCAGCCAGGGTTGCTTCATGACCAACAGTAATTCATTCCTTGGCAAGTGGAACTTCTCTAAAACACCCACCCTCATGAGATGTTCCCTTCCCTTCCCTCTCTCAAGTCCCCAGGAATTTATCCTCCAGTTAGGAATGCAGGCAGAAAAAACACTGCATTTTTCCTGAGAAGGATGTCAGATTGGCAATCATTCTTCTAGCTTGTAGGAGGTCTCACCTGCAGGACATTAAAGGTTAAGAGACTTCGCTGAGCCCTTTGGTGGCCCTAGATCCCTTTCACTGTTGGAGTGTCTGGAGTTCAGAGATGGTGGAAGACAGGCCCTCATTCACAGAGCTGGGAGGTTTGAGCCAACGCTTGCATCCAAGGCTTCCACCTCCCCAGGTTTCCAAAAGCAGAGATAAGAGGGGTCCTTTACTCACCAGATTTGGAGCTTGGTTCTGTGGGTGAAGGCCAACTACTTGAAGGGTTTCCTAGAACATGGGACAGGAGAGATGTGAGGAAATGAGGGTGCTTGTCCTCTACTCAATGGAAATCTTTGAGGTTGGTTCATGGCCAACACTCTGTTATCTAATGTTGGACCCTGGGAGTCTTGGGATCCTCTTCTCCATAATTTTTGTGTGCGATGCCCACTGTCTTGAGACTTGAAGGTATAAAGAGAAAACAGGAGCATCACACTACCTGACTTAGAAATATGTTACAGAGCTGTAGTAAGCAAAACAGCATGACATTGGCATAAAGAAAGGCACATAAAAAATGGAACAGAATGGAGAACACGGATATGATCCATGCATTTACACCCAATGGCTTTTTTTTGTGTGTGTGTGATGGAATCTTGCTCTGTCATGCAGGCTGGAGTGCAGAGGTGCAATCTCAGCTCAATGCAACCTCCACTTCCTGGATTCAAGCAATTCTCTTGCCTCAAACACCCGAGTAGTGGTATTACAGGCACTGGTCACCATGCTCAGCTAATTTTTGTATTTTTAGTAGAGACGAGGTTTCACTCTGTTGGCCAGCCTGGTCTTGAACTCCTGGCTTCAGGTGATCCACCCGCCTCGGCCTCCCAAAGTGCTGGAATTGCAGGTGTGAGCCACCATACCCAGCCCATTTAATGGACTTTGACAAAGGTGCCAAGAACTCACAATCAGGAAAGGACAGTCTTTTCAATAAATGGTGTGGGGAAAACTGGATATCTACATGCAGAGGAATAAAACTGCATCTATACCTGTCACCATAAACAAAAATCAAATGAAAATGGATTAAAAACATGAGTCTAAGGCCTGAACCTATGAAACATGTAGAAGAAAATAATGGGGAAGACATTTGTCTGACGAAAGACATTTTGTTTAAAACCTTCAAAACACAAGTAATCAAAGCAAAAAATAGACCATTAGGATTACATCAAACCAAGCAACTTCTGCACCACAAAAGATAAACCAAGAAAGTGAAGAGACAACCCACAAAATAGGAGCAAATATTTGCAAACTATTCATCTGAGACGGGATTAATAACTGGAAATATAAGAAGCTCAAACAACTCAATAAAACAATTTAATTAAAAAACGAGCAAAAGACATGAGGAGACATTTCTCCACAAACAAAACATAGAAATGGCGATCACGTATATGAAAAAGTACTCGGCATCACTCATCATCAGAGAAATGTAAATTACAATCGCGATGAGTTTTCATCTCATCCCATTAAAATGCCTTTTAGGCCGGTGGCTCACGCCTGTAATTCCGGCACTTCAGGAAGCGGAGGTGGGCGGATCACCTGAGGTCGGGAGACCAGCCTGACCATCATGGAGAAACTCCCTCTCTACTAAACATACAAAAATTAGCTAGGCGTGGTGGCACACGCCTGTAATCCCAGCTACTTTGGAGGCTGAGGCAGGAGAATCAGTTGAACGCGGGAGGCGGAGGTTGCAGTGAGCTGAGATCACACCCTTGCACTCCAGCCTGGGCGACTATGAGTGAAACTCCATCTCAACATAAATAAATAAATAAAATAAAGTAAAGTAAAATGGCTTTTATCTGCAAGACAGGCAAAACAAATGCTGGCAAGATGGTAGAGAAAGGAGAACCCTGGTACCCTGTTGGTAGGAATGTAAATTAGTACAACTATTATGGAGAAAAGTATGGAAATTCTTTAAAAAACTAAAAGGAGGCTGGGCATAGTGGCTTATGCCTGTAATTTCAGCACTTTGGGAAACCGAGGCAGGCACCTCACTTGAGGTCAGGAGTTTGAGAGCAGCCTGCCCAAAATTGGGATATCCCGTCTGTGCTAAAAAAATACAAAAATTAGCCAGGCATGGTGGCATGCACCTGTAATCACAGCTACTAGGGAGGCTGAGTCAGGACAATCATTTGAACCTAGGAGGCACAGGTTGCAATGAGCCAAGATCTCACCACTTAGACTCCAGCTTGGACTAAGGAGGGAAACTCTTTCTCAAAAAAGAAAAAAAAAAAAAAGAGAACTTTCATAGTATCCAGCAATTTCACTACTGGGTTTATATCCAAAGGAAAGGACATCAGTGTATCGAAGTGATATCTGCACTCATATGACTGTTCCAGCACTGTTCACAGTAGCCAAGATGTGGAGTCAACCTACCTGCCTATCAGTGGGTGAATGGATAGAGAACTGTGGTACACACACACAGTGGAGACTACTCATCCATAGAAACAATAACATCCTGTCATTTGCAGCCACATGGATGGAACTGGAGGTCATTACAAAGATTCCCATTTCTCACCCACATGCAGGAGATAAAAGGTGGATCTCATGAAGGTGGAGAATACAATGGTGGACACCAGAGGCCAGGAAGGGAAGGGTGGAGGGTAACAAAAAAAAGAATATAGATGTATTTATTTATTTAGAAACAGAGTCTCTCTCTGTCTCCCAGGCTGCAGTGCAGTGGCATGATCTCGGCTCAGTGCAACCTCGGCCTCCTGGCTTTAAGTGCTTCTCCTGCCTCAGCCTCCCAAGTAGCTAGGACTACAGGTGCATGCCAGCATGCTCGGCTAATTTTTCTTGTCTGTTTAGTAAAGATGAATTTCCCACATGTTGGCCAGGGTGATCTCGAGTTCCTGATCTTAAATGATCCACCTTCCTTGGCCTCTCAAAGCGCCGAGATTACAACTGTGAACCACCACGCCCAGCATATAAAGGTATTTATGACCACTAGATTTTACTTTTAAAAATGGTAAAGGTGGTAAATTATATAGTTACATTTAACCTCAATAAATATTTTTGAAAATGAAAAGAAAAGGGTGTAGGGGTTGCTGGTGATGATATCTCTCTGTGTGGGTGAGAGGCCATGATGGGCTTCTGGGAAATGGGTAAGATTGAGGGGCTGAGGGAACCTCTGATCTCCCCAAACTAAGCCCAGTCTCCCCTTCTCTGGGTCTGTCCTGACCGCTTTCTCCATCTGCCTGGGTGCCTGGAGCCCTGATCGGAGGCCTCCATGCAGGCCATGAAGGAGGGTTTGGAGGTGCCCTGTCTGCCATCCTGCGCCCTGACTCCGCCCTCACACCTGCTGTGTCTTCTCTCTGCATCTGTCCATGCTTTTCTCCATCATCAGCAGGAAGCTCCTTAGCTAAGGATTTAGGATCATAGGACATGAGAGAGATATGGGCTTTTCTCACCTGTGACAGAAACAAGCAGTGGGTCACTCGGGTCTGACCACTCGTAGGGAGAGTGACGGAAAGAGCCGAAGCATCTGTAGGTCCCTCCGTGGGTGGCAGGGCCCAGAGGGAAATCTGCCTGGAATGTTCTGTTGACCTTGCGCACTGCAGGGAGCCTACGTTCATGGGCTCCCCCCTCCCTGGATAGATGGTACATGTCATAGGAGCTCCGGGAGCTACAGGACAAGGTCACGCTCTCTCCTGCCTGAACCTTGGGGCCCGGCTGGGCTGAGAGAGAAGGTTTCTCATATAGACCTGGAAGGAGAAGAGGCAGTTTCCTCAGGGAGGTTCTTCCTTGTCACAGCTCCCCTCACACCTGAGCTGAGAACTCACTCCCCTGCTCTATGACCTAATGCTCTCTCTCTCTCTCTCACTCTCCACCCCATCTCTCTTCATATCTGTTTCCTCCTTCTACCTTTTCTGTCTCTCTAGGTCTATGACCTCACTTCCCCACCCTGAGGTATGTTTTCCCTTTTTGGATTGTTTTATTCTCTCTGACCCTCCTTGGATTGGTTGACTTGATCTTCCTTTTTCTTTAATTTTGAGTCTCTCACTTTCTGTCTTGTTCATAACTTTCTGCACATTTCTATCTATTATCTATCGATCTATCTATTTATCTATTTTGTGTCTATCTACAAATTATCTATCATCTATATTTATGTATCACTTATCTATCTCTCTATCAATTGTCTATCTGTCTATCTATCCATCAATCATCTATTATCTATATATGTATCATCTATCTCTCTCTCTATTACCTCTCTGTCTGCCTCTCTGTCTCTATTTATGTATCATCTATGTATATATCTATGTGTCTATCATCATCATCGTCATCATCATCATCTCTATGTATCATCTATCAGTCATCATCTATGTATCTATAACCAATCCATTATCTATCATCTACCTATTTATCATCTATCTACGTCTATCTATCCATCTATCATCTCTCTCTCTCCGTCTCCTTGTCTTTCTCTGCCTCTCAGTCTCTCTAGTTCTATTTGGAATCTCTGCAATCCATCCCCACATCTTTATCTTTCTCTGTCTTTGTGTCCCTCCCTCAGGGTTCTGATTTTGGGGCTTTTCTCTCCTCCTTTCCATCATTCTCTCCACTCTGCCCTCTTTTCTTTCTTTTTATGTGTCTGTGAATCTCTTAATCTCCTTCTTCTGGCTCATTTTGTGTGTGTTTATGTCTTTGCTTTTTGGTGTCCCTGATTTTTCTCTGTGTCTCTCAGCGATCCTATCATATGTGGGATTATTTGGAATATGAGCCTCAGAATCCAGTCTGGGGACCCCAAGTTCACACAGCATACAGGGGTTGGTGTTCTGGGGCCATGATATCCTGGGATGATTACTCTCCATTGCATGGAAGGCAGAGGTGTCAGAATAAACACGGCATCTGTAGGTGGCACAAGGCCTGAGGCCACAGGGCCCAACTCAGGTCAGAAATATGGGTGTCCTTGGGTTCTTCTGGTAGAAACACTTTGTGGAGGTAAAACAGAAATGAAACTTCTAACCTGTGCCAGGTCTCTGAGCAAAGTCAGCATGGAAGGACACCTCTCTCTGGGACATGTCTGTCTGTCTGAGTGTCTCCTTTACCTCTTTCTCTCTTTTCTACCTCCCTGTATGGCCCCTGTGTCTGTCCCCTGTTATGACACCTGTTCTGTACTTATGTCTCCTGTTTCTCTGTCTCTGTTGGTACAGACCTCACCAAGTCACTCTCTTTCCATAAGAATCCCACACTTATCTTCCTCATGACCACCTGGGGGTTCCAAGTCCTGGATCATTCACTCTGTGTCCCAGTGACAATGAGAACAATGTCTAGACACTCTCACCTGTGACCACGATGTCCAGGGGATCACTGGGAGCTGACAACTGATAGGGGGTGTGAGTAACAGAACCGTAGCATCTGTAGGTCCCTGCAAGGGCACGCATCATGGAACCGATGGAGAAATTGGCCTTGGAGACCCCATCATGGATCTGTCCAACGAGGCGTGAGGGGTCCTTAGAGATCCACTCTTTGTGCAGAAAGAAGTGCTCAAACATGATATCTGACCAACATTGCAGGATGACTCTCTCTCCTGATTTCACCAGGGGACCTGGGTGGGCCAGGAGGGAAGGTTTTCTGTGGTTTCCTAGAAAGAGAAGTTGTGAGTTTAGAAGGCATCTCTCTTTATCATCCCATCCATGGCACCTGGAATGAGTGAGGGTTCCCCTCCCCGTGTCTGTCTCTCTCCTCCCTCTCTGCATCTCCGTGTCTTTTCTGTGCCCATATCCCCTGGTGCAGGTGCCTCCATCTGTCTTCCTCCCTCTTCTCTGTCCCTCTGTCTCCAGTAGCCCCTGACTCCCTTGCCACTGTGAAGACAGCCTCATCTCTTGGGCTGTTGTATCTGTTTCCCACTAATCTCTTTCCTGCTGTTTATATGGGGGTGGAAGAGGACAGGCTGCATGTCCAGGCTCTTAGCAGCCTGAATCAATCTCTTTTGAACAAATTGGAGTCTCTGGCAGGTGGTATCAACTCATCAGTAAGACAGACATCAGTGACCACACACCCTGTTCCTGATGGGGATTGGGAGCCTCTCCTGCCATGTCTGTGCCTTCTCCATGGCCCCAGCTTCCATAGGGTGGCCCCTGGTGCTGGTTCCAGGAGCATCAACCCCTTCCTATGTGGATGGAGCCTGGTGGTAACATCAGCATCCTGCCCTTGCTGATCTCAGGGTAGCCAACCTTCTCCTTGTTTGGTTTCTTTAATTAATTGATTAATTAATTTATTTTTGAGACAGTCACTTTTTCACCCAGGCTGGAGTGTAGTGGTGTTGTCTTGGCTCACTGAAACCTCTGCCTCCCCAGTTCAAGTGATTCTCTTGCCTCAGCCTCCCCAGTCGTTGGATTACTCGCGCCCACCACCACACCTGGCTGTCCTTGTTTGGTTTCCTAACTTGTCCTTGACCTGGGTTCCTAACTTGTCCTTGACCTGGGTTCCTGTGTTGGTTTCCTGTTGCTGCTGCAGAAAATTACCACAAACATGGCAGCAGGAGAGAACACACTGACCCCTTCCACTTCTGGAGACAGAAATTGGATCCAGTTCTCCCTGTGCTGAAATCAAGGCGTCTACAGGGCTGCGTTCCCTCTGGAGAATCAGCGAATCAGTTCTCCTGACTTCTCCAGCCCTTAGAGGCCACCTGCATTCTGTGACTAGTGGTCTTCCTCCACTTTCAAAGCCCGCAGTGGCTGATAGCGTCTCCCTCCCACTACACTGCTCTAATCCCCACTCCCCTCTTCCTCCACCTCTCACGCGGACCCTTGTGATTACACTGAGCCCAGTGGGACAGTCCAGGCTGTCTCCCCATCTCAAGGTCAACTCATCAACAACCTGAGCTCCACCTTCCCCTTCAGTCCCCTGCCCTATAACATAAATAGTCACAGGCTCCAGGGATTACAATGTAGCCATCATTGGGGACAGTTATTCTTCCCACCACAGCACCCATTTGCCCTGTATTCAATCTCCCTTGACCCCAAATACAGCCAGGGCCTGGGTGATGGGACCCTGACGGACAGCCCCACCAGAAGCTCTGGGATTCAGGAGGTGGGACAGTGAGAAGCCCAGACGGAAAGCCTCTGACCTGTGACCATGATCACCATGGGGTTGCTGGGTGCCGACCACCCAGTGGGGGAGTGTGGGTGTGAACCCCGACATGTGTAGTTCCCTGCATGTGCTGTGGTCACAGGGCTCATGTTGAAGCCCTCCTGGAATATTCTGCCATGGAAGATGGGAACGTGGATTCTGTCTTCTTTGTATAGCATGAAATTGTTAAACCTATGACGATAGTGACACCGAAGAGTCACGTGTCCTCCGCGAGGCACCACAGCGCTGGGCCAGGCAGACAGGAAGGGCTTGTCCTGACCACCTGGGGGAGAAGGAGGCACTGCCTTAGAGAGGAGGATGTGGAGCCGCCCCTCACTCCCAGTGCCCAGAAGATTCTCCCCATTTCCACTTTCTAAGGCTCCTACCACACCTGGGTGCCCAGGGCTACAGGAAGGACCCATCCTGCATAGACATGGCGTCTCCCTACAACAAGTGTCAGCTGAGAACTTTGAGCAAGTGCTGGAGAAGCAACTCTTACTAGATTTTAATACTGCAAAATTACTCATATAAAACAATACAAAGTAGACACGGCATGGAGGGCAAGTCCTATGTGAATGGAATATCAGCCAATTGATGAACTGAGCCCCCATCAGAGGATTTGGAATGTCAGGGCCATGGCTGTGGTTTCCTCACCTTTTCTGGTAGAAAGACCGCAGCCACACTGCAGCCCCTACCATCACGGAAACGCTGGAGGGTGTGAGTTACACCTTTGTCCTCAGAGGACCTGCTGTTCCTAGCACTGCTTCCCTCTCTTTCTCTGCTGCTGACACCACTTCCTCCCTGCACACCCATCTTGGAGCACCCTAGTCTCACCCCAGTCTTCACAGAGCTTGACTCAGGAAAGGGAAAGAAAGGCCGGGGAGGGCAAGGTCAGAAATGTGGGCCGAGCATCCGAGGGTCCCCTCTTCCTAGTGTATGAGAGACTCCCCGACAGGACTTCCCTCCCATTTCAGGAAAATCCTCTTATGTGGGGAGATGACACCCTAAGGTTTGGGGAAGGACTCACCCATGTGTGGACCGGCCCTCTGGACCAAGAACAACCCTAGAAAGAAAGATCATGATGGACCATCCATCTGCAGGCAAACCAGGGCACCCTGCTGCCCCCACTGGGTTGTGCGTCTTGGCAGCCAGGCCCTTGCTGGGCTGAAGGTAAACTCACCCTCGCTGCCTACCTGCCCCCAGGAACAAGGATCTCGGCTGTGCAGAGACTCAGCCTCCAGGCCCAGATCTCTACCTCCAGGCCTAGATCTACACAACAGGCCCAGATCTCCACTCCAGGTCCGTATCTCCACTCCAGACCCATATCTCCTCTCCAGGCTGATAAGTCCACTCCAGGCCCATATCTCCACTCCAGGCTCCTATCTCAACTCCAGGCTCATATATCCACTCCAGGCTCATATCTCCACTCCAGGCCCATATTTCCACTCCAGGCTTCTATCTCCTCTCCAGGCCCATATCTCCTTTCCAGGCTTGTATGTCTGCTCCAGGCCCGTATCTCCACCCCAGGCCCATATCTCCACTCCAGGATCATATCTCCACTCCAGGCCCAGATCTCCACTTCATGCCCTTAACTCCACCTCCGGGCCCATAACTCCACCTCTAGGCCCATATCTCCACTCCAGGCCCATATCTCCACTTCAGGCCCATATCTCTACTGCAGGCCCATAACTCCACCTCCAGGCCCATATCTCCACTCCAGGCCCATCGCTCCACTTCTAGGCCCATCACTCCACCTCTAGGCCCACATCTCCCCTCCAGGCCCATATCTCCCCTCCAGGCCCATATCTCCACCCCAGGCACATATCTCCACCCCAGGCCCATATCTCCACTCCAGGCCCAGATCTCCACTCCAGGCACATATCTCCACCCCAGGCCCCTATCTCCACTCCAGGCCCAGATCTCCACTCCAGGCCCAGATCTCCACTTCAGGCCCATAACTCCACCTCCAGGCCCATAACTCCACCTCTAGGCCCATATCTTTACCTCCAGGTCCAGATCTCCATCCCCGCACTCCCTCCCTCGATTCCCTTCCAGGACTCACCAACACACGCCATGCTGACGACCATGAGCAACATGGTGCTGCCGGTGCAGACAGGCGGCTGCGCCCCAGCTCAGCTCAGCAGCGCACAGGATGTTATTTGGCGCCCTGCCCATGCAGTTTACATGTTGACCACATCATGGGAGGGTGACGTACGCAGGCTCTTTCTACCTTGCATGAGGCCCAGTGGGTGCTCGCTCAAGAGCGGAGCATGGCTTCCTGGAAATTGCTCTCACTAGAATTGACACCTCGCGTCCTTCACTATGACCAACTCAAAACACGTCTCAGATCCAACCTCCTGAACACGAGATGCCTAAAATCTGTGCTAACATGAAAGACTTTTCATGTATTTTTATTGCTTTTATCTGAGATTCAAACTCTTCTTCCTGTGTAATATGCAAAATATCTAATAGGTATTATTAAGGTTTTCAGAGCAATTGTGACTAATAAACCATTAGAATTTTTCATGATTGTATTTCTAGTATTACAGCAGAACCAGTTCAAATGATTTAAACTCCCAGGGAAGGATTATGCAATTATTTACAATCTTAGAATTGTACTTTATCAGCAAAAATCACAACATGTAAATTCTGGATTTTTGTAGATTTATCTAGAATTTGTCTCATGTCCCAAGATTCCAGAGTTCCAACTCATGGTTTGCTCTCTCTCTGTCTCTCTGCCTCCCTCATTTTAAATTTTACAGAAATATCCAGTAACATAATGCTATAGAAAATCAATTTCCCCAGCACTTTGGAAGCCGAGGTGAGTGATCAACCGAGGTCAGGAGTTTGAGACCAGCCTGGCCAATATAGTGAAACCATGTCTCTGCTAAAAATACAAAAATTAGCCATGCCTGGTAGCAGGCACTTGTAATGCCAGCTATTCAAGAGGCTGAGGCACGGAATCCCTTGAACCTGGGAGGCAGAAGTTGCAGTGAGCCGAGATCGTGCCACTGCACTCCAGCCTGGGCAACAGAGCGAGACTCTGCCTCAAGAAAAATAAAAAAAGCATAGCAAATAGCCTATAATAAATAACTAGAGGACTCCAGCTACCAAATTTTAGGGGTTGTATAAGGCTGCATAAAATGCAGCATTCTCAAGAGAGTGGACAGAGAGAGAGCCACTGAGCAGAAAACAGTGTCTAAAATACATCCGTGTACACACAGTCCCTTTATAGTTGACAAAGGCTGCCATGTGGTTTAAGGTGGAATAGAATGTCTTCTCAATAAATAACATGGGCCCAAGGGTTACACATGGAGAAAAATATATCTAAAAGTATTCTCACACTATAAAACACTTGTTTATTTTATCTTGTTATTGTAATTTTTTTATGTTTTATATTTAAAATTGAGAAATAAAAATTATATACAGTCATCCCTCATTATTCGTGGGTGATTGGTCTCAGGATCTCCACTCAGATAGCACAATCTGCAGATGCTCAAGCCTCTTACATGAAATGGCACAGCATTTGCAAATAACCCATGCACATCCTCCTGTGTACATGAAATCATCCCTTGATTATTTATAATTCCTGATACAGCCTACACACAGCTTCATTTGTGTCCATTCAACATAGTTTTGCTTTTTGAAACTTTGTGGATTTTTTCTCTGAATATTTTTGATTTATATTTGGTTCAATAAACACCTGTAAATCCCACAGATACAGAGGACCGACTGTATATTTATAGTATGAAAGATGATGTGTTGATATGTGTCCCCGTGGAGATGAGACTAACAAGGCCTATGACTCTACAAATGTTTCATCATGGAATGACTCTGCCAGCTTTCCAGGTCTGCAGAGAGTAAGAATATCACTTGTTCATGTGATTCACGATCCTTGGAACCTCTTATGTGCTGCATCTTTGGATGGAAATTGGAGTCTCAGAGACAAATGAGGCTCCACCCTGCTTCCAGAAGCTCAGAGTCCAGGGGTGAGAACCCAGTGGAGAACAGTTGGAGTTATTTGGACATGGTAATGATAACACTGGAAACTTTCAGCCAAAAAAAGAGTCACCTAAAGAATGAAGGCAGACATGTTTATTTGAAGAGGAGAGAACTACACTGAAATCAAAAAAATTTTATAAGGTTTGCTGATGCCAGAAGGCTGAAAAATAGTCTGAGGAAAGGTGGAACAGCACGAGGGAAGGTGGAACAGCACGTGTCTAAGTGCCGTGTTAAGAGAGAGCCTCTTGTATGTTTGGAATTGTGAGTTCCTCAGTGTGATTGCAGCCTCAAGTAGACTAGGAAGTAAGCCAGTTAGGTTGGAGAGGTGGGCAGGGGTCAAGTGAAATAGAGAATTGTGGGCTAAGCAAAGGAGTGTGTTTTCTCTGCAGCAGGCAGTGGGGACCTTAGACATTGGTAAGCAAGAGACAGGCACCAGATTTGTGGTGTGAGGAAGAGTGATGCTCTAAGATGGAGACTCACGCCTTCAGATTCCAGCTGCTGGTACATTAGAGCTGGCAAGCTGGGTTTGAGACAGGGCTGTTGTCTCCCTAGAAGATCCCATCAAGGCCTGACTGTGGTGCTCATGGGCAGGAGACAACGCTCTGGGCTCAGCATTTGGAAGTTCTATACACACGCTGGTATCTGTTGAGGGTCTCTTGCTCCTCTGAGAAGGGCCAGTGATTTTTCTCTGTGTGAAAATGCAGTGATCCAACTGTGCGTATGTCACCTCCTGAGGGTCTTGTTCATCAGAGTCCTGGAGAGAGGGAAATCCTGAGTGAGGGAGGGTGTTCACATTTTTCAGGACTATTAGGGAATAAGACTGTATCCATGAGGCTGGGCTAGGAGGACCTACCTCCCTGTTCACTGTTCTGTGTCCCGCAGGCTCTTGGTTCATTACAGCAGCATCTGTAGGAGACGGAAGCAATCGAAACAGCTGGGAGGGCACTTCTGGGTCCTCATTTCATGAACAGATACCAACACACAGGGGGAGGCCATAGGTGCCTGAGGTCCCTCAGCTGCCAACAGCCAGACTCAGACATTCCATCTCTCTGAGTGCAAGACCCCATTCCATGAATAGCTGTCAGTTCCCATCCCATTGATTCTATCTCCCACTTTCTGCCTGTCATGGAATCTTCTCCTGGATGTGAGTGGCTGCAGGGGACGTGAGGATACAGTTCACAATCAGGCAATGGTCTGTGAGCTGAAGGCAGGGGCAGGTTGTCTGGTGCTCTCTCTAGAAAGCTCTGCCTCTGGCTCCTGCCTTGGGCCAGAGACTTTCCTGCCAGTGAGGAACACACACCTGCGTGCTCCCATCCTGCTTCCGCACAGGGCCCTGAGTTCTCTGGCCTCTGCTTCGTGAGGCTTACTTTTTTTTTTGGAGCACCAGCGATGAAGGAGAAAGAAGGGAAGGATGGTGAAGAGGATGATGGCCACTGAGTACCTAATCACAGCATGCAGGTGTCTGGCGATACCTGGAGGAAGATGAGAATCCAATAAGAAGCTAACCATAGCAGTTCCTCTTTGTGGATTGTCTCTCATTTCTTGGTTGCCAGGCAACCACATAAAACACCTCTTTAGGACAAGCACCCACGAGGCGGGAGACCCAGCTTTCTCCTGCTTTCTCCGTTATAGTTTTCATAATAACAATAGAATGTGCTGATGATACAACTGCTATTGTTTCAATGTTTGACCCCTCCAAACCCCACTTTGAAATTTAATCCCCAGTGTGGGAGGTTGTGCCTATTGGGAGGGGTGTTTTGGTCATGGGGGTGGATCCATCATGAATAGATTAATGCTGTCCCCAGAGGACGGGGTTAGCAAGTTCTCCCTCTATTAGTACCCTGGAGAGTTGATTCTTAAAAAGAGCTTGGAAGCTCCATCACACCCCCTTTCTCCCTCTCTTGCCATGTGATCTCTGTGGTCTCTGCACACGCAGGACCCCCTTCTCTTCTGTCAGTGTGGGAGCAGCCTGAGGCCGCAGCCAGAAATAGATGGTAGTGTCCTGCTTCTAGTACAGCGTGCAGATCAGTGAGCCAAACACATCTCTTTTCTTTAGAAGATACCCAGGCTCAAGTGTTCTTTTATAGCAACAAAAATAGGCTAAGACAGCAACATCCTGAGATCAGGAGGAACGTCTCAGAACAGCCTGGGCTGTCTTCCTGTTCTTCCTGGAGGAGAACATCATGCAGTGCTTTAGCTGAGTGTTCCCTGTGGCTCCAGGGTACAAAACCCAGGCTGGGCTGCTTTCTGGCTTCCCCCAGCTACAGTGCACATGAAGTGACTCCATGTGTCCTGAGCAGTTTTTCTGAGCCTTGAGGGACTGGCTCACCCTGAAAGGAAGGTTTCTGTTGTCACTCGCTGCTTATCTATAAGTAATGAACCTGCCTATGTAATGTATTCCCTGTGTGTTCTGTCTCCCTGGAGTGATGGTGAGTGATAGAAATTGGCACAGCCCCAGGTGCAGTATGGGAGGTGTTTAGAGTCTTCTCTGGGAAGACTGGACTGGGATTGATACACAGTGAATGTGCTTTACAGTTTCTACATCCACAACCCTCTTGACTCAAACAAATTACATTCTCCAAGAAAAGGAAAAAACAGTGACATTGAAATCAACATAAGTGAGGTTGAGCTGTCTTATATCAAACAGCCAGGAAATAATGATGAAGCTCGTGGGCAACATGCTACTTTTGTCATCTTGGGAGTCAGATATTAGGCTGCTGTTCCACCCGAGAGTCTGGGGGAAAGACCACCCCCTCCATCATCTGTTGCTTCAATACAGCCTGTCTTTCTGTGAATTACTCCAAAAGGTGACCAGGAGATAGTGCTGGCACTGGTCTCTGAGTCTACGATCTGAACTCCAAAGAATATTAGTTTTTACCTCCCCATGATCTATCTGTATCATTAATGTGATTGGAAGTAGGGGTGAGGTGGGGGATTTGGGTGAAGGGGCAAGTTTTGTGCCATGAACAGATCACGTTCTCTATTCCAGGACCTGCGCTGGTGGGTTTCACATTTTCCATATGATCTCATGCTCACAGAAAGCCAAATAAGGAAGATGTTTTCGCCTGATTTTCTTATGGATAGGATAAAGGATCAAAGAAGTCATTATAGAGAAATAGAAAAATGATGATTGGAATTGGTGTGCCTTTGTCATTCGTGTATGTTATATTATATTTATGTATTCTTTATTTTTATTTTTTGCCATGGAGTCTCACTCTGTCACCTAGGGTGCAGTGCAATGACGCGATCTTGGCTCACTGTAACCTCTCCCTCCCTGGTTGAAGCCATTCTCCTTCTTCAACTTCCCGAATAGCTGGTATTACAGGCATGCGCCACCACCCCCAGCTAGTTTTTGTATATTTAGTAGAGATGGGGTTTCACCATGTTGTCCAGGCTGATCTCGAACTCCTGATCTCACTTGATCCAGCCTCCTCAGCCTCCCAAAATGTTGGGTTACAGGTGTGAGCCACCGTTCAGAACCTTGTGTGTTATATTATAATAGGTCTCTTCCTTTGCACCACCCCTCATGTATCTCTCACTCCTCTGCCAAGTATTGATTTACATGTAGGAAAAATAAATCTCAGAAAGAAATCAATGAAGTGAAGATTAAACAATTAGGAAAAATCAAAGCAGGCAAGCCCTCCCTGCAAATTACTCTACCTCACAAACACATCTTGTGTCCATCTTTCATTCATTTAGTGTCTAAATCAGCACCACATTTCACCAGGGGGGCGGGAATTGCCTTTTCCACAGTCTCCTAGATTCCAGTTATGCACCTGGGCCTCCCTTATTTTCATGTCAGTCACTATTCATCATGTAGGGATTCCCAGTTAGCCCCGAGGTAAGTCCAATGGCTGTGAGTGTCAAACACACGCTCCTTGTTCCTCCTTAGTTTCCTGTGTACCCAGAGTGCTCTCTGTCTCTCCACAGTCGTCTTGTCATTCTCCCCATCTCATTCCCAGCATTTCAGGCAGAGCCTCTTCCTTCCACATAACATTGTTTTCACCTTTGTGCCTTCACGGCTGACAGCTGTGTGGAAAATCCTTCCGCCAATCTTCCAGGGGTTGATCTATTTTTTTCATTAAGGTCACAAGTATTATTTGATCAGTGAGAACTTCTCTGTCACCCGAAATTATACACTCAGCATTATCTATTATTTCTTTTAAAATACGGCTCGGCGCCTTGGCTCACGCCTCGAATCTCAGCACTTTGGGAGGCTGAGACGGGCGGATCCCTTAAGGTTGGGAGTTTGAGATAGCCTGGGCAACATGGTAAAACCTTGTCTGTACTAAAAAAAAAATACCAAAAAAAAATTAGCCAGGCGTGGTGGGACATGGGTGTAATCCCAGCCTCTCGGGAAGCTGAGTGTAGAGAATCGCTTTAACCTGGGAGGTGGAGGTTGCGGTGAGCCGAGATCCCGCCACTGCACTCCAGCCTGGGGCACAGAGGGAGACACCGTCTCATAAAAACAACCAATCAATCAATCATTCTCATGCACAGATGCTTCCCAATGGATCATTCATTTATTGGTCCACTGGTGCATTCATTTTCTGCCCTCCCATTTAATCCTTTGCAATATCAGTGTCCAAGAGCAGAGGCCAAATGCACCTTGTTTACCATTTGTGGAAAGGATAAGAATGCCGCCCCACCCCAAAATGTTCCTGTCCTAGTCGCCATATCTTGTGAATATGTTATTTTACATGGAAAAAAGGAATGCAGATTGCAGATGGAATTACGGTTGCTAATCAGCTAACCTTAAAAGGAGGGTATCCTAGATGATTTTAGGGAAATTATGATGGATTATCTTGGTGTTTCCAATAGAATGCCAAAGTCCTTAAAAGATGAGGAAGAAGGCAGAGCAGCATTCAGAGAAAGAGGTGTGGACAAGGAAGAAGGGTCTGAGTGATGCCGTGTGAGAGGCGTGACCAGCCTTTGTGGACTTTGAGGGAGGAAGACGGGGACCAGGAGCCAAGGAATGTGGGAGCCTCTAGGAGCTGGGAAAAGTGAGGAAGCAGATTCTTGCCTGGAACATTCAGAGGGAAGGCAGCCTTGCTGTCACCTTGATTTTAGCCCAGTGAGATGATGCATTTCATACTTCTGAGCTACAGCACCATGAGATATTTTTTTAAAATGTGGTTTCCATCCACGAAGCTTGTGGAAATTTGTTATGGCAACATAGGAAAAGGTTCCACACTGCACAGTCTGAGCATGGGGCAGTGGCTGAACGAGTAAGTGGAAGTGTCATGTGCACGGATGAACTACGTTCTCTCTTACCGCAAAGCTCTTGTTCCACTAAGTCAACCAGGGTTGGATCATGACAGACAGGAGCTCATTCCTTGGCAAGTAGAACTTCTCTACAAATACACCACCCTCAAAAATGTTCCCCGTCCTTCCCCTTCTCAAGCCCCCAGGCATTTGTCCTCCCAGTTAGGAATGCAGGCAGAACAAACACAGCATTTTTCCTGAGAAGAATGTCTGATTTGCACTCATCCTTCTACCCTGAGGTCTCAGCAGCAGAAAATTAGAGATTAAGAGATTTCACTGAGCCCTGTGCTGGGCCCAGATCCCTTTCGCTGTTGGAGTGTCTGGGGTTCAGAGACAATGGAAGACAGGCCCACAATCACAGAGCTGGCAGGTGCTGAGCCAACGCTTGAATCCAAGGCTTCTACCTCCCCAGGTTTCCAAAAGCAGAGATAAGAGGGGTCCTTCACTTACCAGTTTTGAAGCTTGGTTCAGTGGGTGAAGGCCAACTACTAGAAGGGTTTCCTAGAACATGGGACAGGAGAGAGGTGTGGCAATGAGGATGCCTGTCTTCTACTCAATGGAAATCTTTGAGGTTGGTTCATGGCCAACATTCTATTATCTAATGTTGGGCCCTGGGAGTCCTGGCATCCCATTCTCCATAATCATTGTAGGTGACACCAACTATCTTGAGACTTCAAGGTATAAGGAGAAAACAGGAGCATCACACTACCTGACTTAAAAATATGTTACAGAGCTGTAGTAAGCAAAACAACATGACATTGGCATAAAGAAAAGCACATAAAACAATGGAGCAGAATGAAGAACACGGATGTAATCCACCCATTTACATCCAATGGACTTTGACAAAGGTTCGAAGAATCTACAATCTGGAAAGGACAGTCATTTCAATAAATGGTGCAGGGAAAACTGGATATCTACATGCAGAGGGATGAAACTGCACCTCTACCTCTCACCATACACAAAAATCAGATGAAAATGGATTAATGACTTAAGACCTGAATCCATTAAATGTCTAAAAGGAAACACTGGAGAAATGCTCCAGGACATTTGTCTGAGGGAAGACATTTTGTTTAAAACCTCAAAAACACAAGTAATCACAACAACAACAAAAAAATAGACCATTGGGATTATATCAAATCAAGCAGCTTCTGCACCGCAAAGGAAGCAACCAATGAAGTGAAGAAGAGACAACCCACAGAATGGGAGCAAATATTTGCAAACTATGCATCTGAGATGGGATTAATAACTAGAATATAAAAGAAGCTCAAACACCTCAATAAAACTAATAATTTAATTATAAAATTAGTAAAAGACCTGAACAGACATTTCTCAATGAACAAAACATACAAATGAACATATATACATTGCATATATGAAAAAGTGCTCAGTATCACTAATCATCAGAGAAATGCAAATGAAGTCACAATGAGCTATCATCTCACCCCATTACAATGGGTTTTATCTCAGAGACAGACAAAACAAATGTTGGCAAGGTGGTGGAGAAAGGAGAACCCTGATACACTGTTGATAGGAATGTAAATTAATACAGCCATTACAGAGGAGAAGAATATGGAAGTTCCTTAAAAACTAAAAAGAGATTAGGCACTGTGGCTCACGCTTGTAATCCCAGCACCTTGGGAGGCTGAAGTGGGCAGATCACTGGAGGTCAAGAGTTCGAGACCAGCCTGGCTAACATGGTGAAACCCCGTCTCTACTAAAAATACAAAAATCAGCCAGGCGTGGTGGCGGGCACCAGTAATCCCAACTACTCGGGAGGCTGAGGCTGGAGAATCACTTGAATCCTGGAGGTAGAGGTTGCAGTGAGCCCAGGTGGTGCCATTGCACTCCAGCTTGGGCAACAAGAGTGAAACGCTATGTCAAAAAAACAAAAAGCATAAAACAAAACCTAAAAAGAGAACATCCAGAGGATCTAGCAATTCCACTAGTGGGTGTAAATGCAAAGAAAAGGACTTCAGTGTATTGAAGTGACATCTGCACTCCCATGACTGTTCCAGCACTGTTCACAGTAGCCAAGATGTGGAGTCAACCTACCTGCCCATCAGTGGATGAATGGATAGAGAGAATGTAGTACATACACACAATGGAGACAACTCATCCATACAAAGAGAAACGTCCTGTCATTTGCAGCCACATGGATGGACTGGAGGTCATTACAAGGATTGCCATTTCTTACTCACATGCAGGATGTAAAAGGTGGACCTCATGAAGGTAGAGAGTAGAATGGTGGATACCAGAGGTTAGGAAGGAAGGGGTGGAGGGTAACAAAAGAAGAATATAAAAGTATTTATTTATTTATTTAGAGACAGAGTCTCTCTGTGTCACCAGGCTGCAGTGCAGTGGCATGATCTCAGCTCACTGCAACCTCCTCCTCCTGGGTTTAAGCCACTCTCCCGCCTCAGCCTCCCAAGTTGCTGGGATTATAGGCGCCTGGCACCATGCCTGGCTAATTTTATTTTTTTTGTCTTTTTAGTAAAGATTGGTTCCCCCATGTTGGCCGGGCTGGTCTCCAGCCCCTGATTTTAAATGATCCACCTGCCTTGGCGTCTCAAAATGCTGAGATTACAGGCGTGAGCCACCGCACACAGCATATAAAGGTATTTATGATCCCTAGATTTTACACTTAAAAATGGTAAAGTTGATAAATTATATAGGTATATTTAACCTCAATCAGCATTTTTTCAAAGGAAAAGAAAAAGTGTAGGGGTTGCTGGTGATGACATCTCTGTGTAGGTGAGAGGCCAGGGTGGGCTTCTGGGAAATGGGTAAGGTTGAGGGGCTGAGGGAACCTCTGATCTCCCCAAACTGAGCCCAGTCTCCCTCCTCTGGGTCTGTCCTGACCACTTTCTCCATCTGCCTGGGTACCCGGAGCCCTTACTGCAAGCTTCCATGCAGGCCATGCAGGAGGGTTTGGAGGTGCCCTGTCTGCCATCCTGTGCCCTGATCCCACCCTCACACCATGCTGCATCTTCTCTCCACATCTGTCCATGCTTCTCTCCATCATCAGCAGGAAGCTCCTCAGCTAAGGCTCTAGGACCATAGGACATGGGACAGACATTGGCTTTCCTCACCTGTGACAGAAACAGGCAGTGGGTCACTCGGGTCTGACCACTCGTAGGGAGATCCATGGAAAGAGCCGAAGCATCTGTAGGTCTCTCCGTGGGTGGCAGGACCCAGAGGGAAGTCGGCCTGGAATGTTCCATTGATGCTGGGCACTGCAGGGAGCCTAAGTTCATGGGCTTCCCCCTCCCTGGATAGATGGTAGATGTCAAAGGAGCTCTGGGAGCTGCAGGACAAGGTCACGTTCTCTCCTGCGCGAACCGTGGGGCCCGGCCGGGCTGTAAGCGAAGGTTTCTCATATAGACCTGGAAGGAGAAGAGGCAGTTTCCTCAGGGAGGTTCTTCCTTGTCACAGCTCCCCTCCCACCTGAGCTGAGAACTCACTGCCCTGCTCTATGGCCTAGTGCTCTCTCTCTCTCTCTCTCTCTCACCCTCCACCCCCAACTCTTCCTGTCGATCCCTCCCTATGTGGTTCCAGCCTGGTGGTGGCATCAGCAGTGCACCCTTGCTGATCTCAGGGTAGCCAACCTTCTTGTTTGGTTTTTTAACTTGTCCTTCACCTGGGTTCCTGTGTTGGTTTCCTGATGTTGCTGGAGAAAATTATCACAAACATGGCGGCAGGAGAGAACACACTGACCCCTTCCACTTCTGGAGACAGAAATCAGACCCTGTTCTTCCTGGGCTACAATCAAGGCATCTGCAGGGCTGCATTCCCTCTGGAGACTCGGGAGAATCAGTTCCATTGATTTCTCCAGCCCCTTCGTGGCTCGTGGTCTTCCTCCACCTTCAAAGCCCACAGTGGCTGGTGGAGTATCCCACGATGCTGCTCTAATCCCCATTCTCCTCTTCCTTCTCCACTCATATGGACCCTTGTGATTACACTGAGCCCAGTGGGAGGGTCCAGGCCATCTCCCCATCTCAAGGTCAACTCATCAACAACCTGAGCTCCATCTTCCCCTTCAGTCCCCTGCCCTATAACATAGTCACAGGCTCCAAGGATTACAATGTGGCCATCGATGGGGACAGTTATTCTTTCCAACACAGCACCCATTCCCCTGTATTCAATCCCCCTTTACCCCAAATATAGTTGGGGCCTGGATGATCGGACTCTGGTGGACACCCCCACCAGAAGCTCTGGGACTCAGGAGGTGGGACAAGGAGAAGCCCAGACAGGAGCCCTCTGACCTGTGACCATGATCACCAGGGGGTTGCTGGGTGCCGACCACTCAGTGGGGGAGTGCGGGTGAAAACCTCGACATCTGTAGGTCCCTGCGTGTGCTGGGGTCACAGGGCTAATGAGGAAACTGTTCCAGAATATTCTGTTGTAGAGCTCAGGGACAGGGACCCCATCTTTCTTGTACAGCGTGAAGATGTTAAACCCACGACGACAGTGACACCGAAGAGTCACGTGTCCTCCTTGAGGCACCACAGCGCTGGGCCAGGCAGAGCAGAAGGGCTTGTCCTGACCACCTTGGGGAGAAGGAGATGCCGCCTCAGAGAGGAGTATGTTGAGCTGCCCCTCCCTCCCTGTGCTCAGAAGATTCTCCCCATTTCTTCTTTCTAAGGCTCCTACCACACCTGGGTGCCTGGGGCTACAGGAAGGACCCATCCCGCATAGACGTGGCGTCTCCCTACAACAAAAGTGTCAGTTGAGAACTGAGCAGGTGCTGAGTAAGGGACTCTTACTAGATTTTAATACTGCAAGATTAGTTACACCAAACAACACAAAGTAGACATGGGGTGGAGGGTATGACCTTTGTGAATGGAATATTAGCTAATGCCTGAACCACAATAAACAACTGAGCTCCATCAGAGGATTTGGAATGGCAGGGTCGTGGCTGTGGTTCCCCCACCTCTTCTGGCAGAATGACAGCAGCCACACTGCAGCCCCTACCGTCATGGAAACGCTGGAGGGTGTGAGTTACCCTCTTGTCCTCAGAGGACCTGCTGTTCCTAACACTGCTACCCTTCCCTCCTCTGTCGGTGACACCACATCCCCCCACACACCCCAGCTTTGAGCACCTCAGTATCCCGCCTGGGCCACACAGAGCTCAACTCAGCCATGGGGAAGAAAGGCTGGGGAGGGCTAAGACAAAACAGAAGGCTGAGCATACCAGGATCTCCTCTTACTAGTTCATGAGAGACTCCCAGGATCTCCTCTTACTAGTTCATGAGAGACTCCCAGGATCTCCTCTTACTAGTTCATGAGAGACTCCCCCCAGGCCTTCCCATGGTCAGCCCATCAGCCCACCCTCTGTGCTGCCTCCCTCCCATTTCCGGAAAATTCACTTGTATTGGGGTGAAGATGGCAACCCATCATTTGGGGAAGGACTCACCCACGTGTGCCCACACACTCTGGTCCAAGAAGAACCCTGCAAAGAAAGATCATGAGGAACTATTCATCTCGGCAGCAACCTACCCTTTCCTCCTGAGCCACTGGGCGCCACGCTGGACTGAAAATTAACTCATCCTCACCACTCACTTGCTTCAGAACATGGCTCTCTGCTGGGGAGACACCCAATCTGCAGGCCCATAGTGTAACCCTGGTGCTCCTTCCCTTCCAGGACTCACCAAGACATGCCAGGATGATGACCGTGGGTGACATGGACATGGTGCAGCTTCTGCTGCCAGGACGCAGTGACTCGGCTCGACTGACCGGTGCAGAGGATGTGGTGAGGGGCCCGGATCGTGCAGTTGACACATTGACCACAACATGTGAAGGGGACATAGGTAGGCTTCTTCTACGTCATATGAGGTTCAAGTGGTGAATCAGTCAAGGGAGGAATGAGGGTTTCTGAAAACTGCAGACTAGACTTGTCACTTCACATCATGCGCAACGGCCAGGCTCAAAACACATCTCAGACTCACTTACCCCTGCACGGGACGATTGAATTCTGCACTCACATGAGGAACTTTTGATGTATTTTTTTTTGTTTCTACCTGAGATTCAAACTCTCCTTGATATGTAATATGCAAAATACCTAATAGGTTTTATTAACACTATAGAGCAATCGTATTAAATAAATCATCATAATTTTCCATGGTTGTATTTTTCCTGTTAAGCCAGAAACAGATAAAATGATTTAAATCCCAGTAGAAAAGACTATATAGTTATTTCGCATCATAGAATTCCACCTTATTAGCAAAAACACAATATGTCAATTGAAGGTCTGGTCGTGTTATCTAGAATTTGTCTTATGACACAAGAGTCCAAATTCACAGTTCCCTGTCTCCCTTTTTGTCTCTCTGTAACGTGTGCTTTTTTTCTCCCTGTGTTGTTTGTGTGTCTTTCTTTCTCTCTCTCATTTGAGGAAAAAATATCAGACTGATAACATCCTCCAACTTGATACTGGAATATTGCAATAACTGAAGGTTGAAATCTACACATTTAATGTGCTGTCATTCTTACAAATGTCTCTTATTTACACCTACCTTTCTGGAGTTTGTAAGAACTTTTTCACTATGCATTTTAAATTTGTAAAACTCATAATTTTTAAAAAGGGATGGGTCTCACTGTTTGCCCAGGGTGGCCTTTACTCATTCTATAAGGCTGGCATCACCCTGATACTAAAGACAGAAAAGAACATTAAACAAAAGAAAACTACATGCCAATATTCCTGATGAACATAGAGGCAAAAATCCACAAAAAATACTAAGAACTGAATCCCGCAGCATATCAAAAAGTGAATCCACCATGATCAAGTCAACTTTATTCTTAGGGTGCAAGGTTGGTTGAACATACACAATCAATACATGTGATTCATCACCTAAACAAAACTAAAAACAAAAACCACATGATCTTCTCAACACACATGTAGAACATACTTTTTACTAAGCATTTCTTCATGTTAAAAGCCCTCAACAAGCTAAGCATTGAAGAAACATAACTCAATATAATAAGAGCCGCCTGTGACAAACCCACAACCAACATCATACTGAATGAGTAAAAGCTGGAAGAAGTTCCCTTCATAAGTGAAACAAGACAAGAATGCCCACTCTCACCATCCTATTCAACATAGTACTTGAAGTCCTAGACAGAGCCATCAGGAAAGAGAAAGAATTATAAGGCATCCAAGTAAGAAGAGAGTAGCAGAGAGAGGTAGTCAAATTACCTCTGTTTGAAGATGAGATAATTTCTATACCTAGAAACCCCATAGTCTCTGCCCAAAGGCTCCTACATCTGAGAAACAAACTTCAGCACAGTTTAAGGGCAGAAAGTCAATGTACAGGCTGGGTGTGGTGTCTCAGCCTGAAATCTAGCACTTTGGGAGGGCGAAGCGGGTGGATCACCTGAGGTCTGGAGTTCGAGACCAGCCTGGCCAACATGGCGAAACCCTGTCTCTACTAGAAACACAAATATAGCCGGACGGGGTGGTACGCAACTGTAGTCCCAGCTGCTTGGGAGGCTGAGTCAGGAGAACCGCTTGAACCTGGGAGGCAGAGGTTGCAGTGAGCGGAGATCACGCCATTGCACCTCAGCTTGGGCAACAACAGTGAAACTGCATCTCAAAAAAAAAACCAAAACAAATTTAATTAATGAGGAAAAGGGTATTTGTGGTGTCCATCATGATGTTTTCATATAGGTACACATTGTGGAATGGATGAAACAACCTCTTTATCATATTTATTTTTTCACATACTTGTATGTTTTGTGTGTGTGGTGAGAACATGTAAAATCTAATCTCTTAGTAATGTTCAATACACCATATGTTGCTATTAACTGGAGTCACCAAGACATACAATAGATCTCTTGAACCGATTTCTTCTAACTGAAATTTTGCATCCTTTGACCAACATCTCTTCAATCTCTCTCCATCCCAGGTTCTTTCGACGACCATTTTACTGTTCCTCTAGGTTCCACTTCTTACACTCCACACATGAGATCATGTGGCATTTGTCTTTCTGTGCCTGGATTGTTTCCCTTAACATAATGTCCTCTAAGTTTTTTCACATTGTCACAAATGAGAGGACTTCCTTCTTTGTTGTAAAGGTTGTATAGTACTTCATTACGTTCCTATCGTATACCACGTTTTCTTTGTCCATGCACCCATAGATGGGCAGTAAGGGTGATTCCACATCTTGGCTGTTATGAATAATGCGGCTGTAAACATGGGAATGCAGATATCTCTTCAACATACTGATTCCACTTCCTTTGGATACATGCGCAGTAGTTGGATTGCAGACACATATGGGAATTCTATGTTTAATTTTTTCAGGAACTTCCAGACTGTTTTCCATAATGGTTGTGCTAATTTACATTCCCATCAACTGCATACAAATGTTCCCTTTTCTCCACATCCTCGTTAACCCTTGTTATTTTTTATGTTTTTGATAATGGTCTTTTTTTTTTTTTTTTTTTGAGACTCAGTCTTGCTCTGTCACCCAGGCTGGAGTGCAGTGGCACAATCTCGGTGTACTGCAACCTCTGCCTCCTGGGTTCAAGCGATTCCCCTGCCTCAGTCTCCAGAGTAGCTGGGACTACAAGTGTGCGCCACCAAACTCTGCTAATTTTTGTATTTTTAGTAGGGATGGGGTTTCACCATATTGGCCAGGCTGGTTTCGAACTGCTGACCTCAGGTAATCTCCCTGCCTCGGCCTCCCAAAGTGCCTGAATTACAGGCATGAGCCACCATGCCCAGACTGTTAATGGTCATTCTAAGAGGTGTGAGGTGATATCTCATTCTAGTTTTAATTTTTATTTAGCTGATGTTTAGTAATGCTAATCATTTTTTCATATACCTTTTGGTGATTTGTCTTATTCTTAGAAATGTTTATTCAGATACTTTGCCCATTTTTTTAAGTTGGGTTATTTGATTTCTTACCATTGAGTTGTTTGAGTTTCTTATATATTTTGGATATTAATTCCTTATTAGATGTATGGGTGCAAATATATTCTCCCATTCCATAGGTTGTCTTTCCACTTGTTGAGTTTTTTTTTTCTTTGCAGAAACTTTCAATTTGATATAATGTTATTTGTCTACTTTTGCTTTTGTTGCCTGGGCCTTTGGGTTAATATCCAAAATGGTTTTGCCCAAGCCAGTGGAGTTTTCCCTTGATTTCTTTTAGTAGTTTTTTTTTTTTTTTTAAGATGGAGTCTCACTGTGTTGCCCCGGCTGGAGTGCAGTGGTGCGATCTCGGCTCACTGCAACCTCTACCTCCTGGGTTCAAGTGATTCTCCTGTCTCAACCTCCCGAGTAGCTGAGATTACAGGCACCCACAACCACACCCAGCTGTTTTTGTATTTTTAGTAGAGGCGGGATTTCACCATGTTGGCCATGCTGGTCTTGGAATCCTGACCTTAGGTGATCTGCCCACCTTGGCCTCCCAAATTGCTGGGATTATAGTCTTTCATCTTACATTTAAGTCATTAATCTATCTTGAGTTGACTTTGTATGTTTTGTGAGGCAAATGTCCACTTCCATTCTTCTGCATGTGGACATGCAGTCTCCCAATCCCATTTATTAAAGAGACTGTTCCTTCTCCATTGTGTGTTCTTGACACATCCCAAAAATTGTTTGACCCTAAATGCATGCATTTTTTTCCTGGGCTATGAATCACTTCCATTGGTCTATGTGTCTGTTTTTATGCAAGTACTGTGTTGTTTTAATTACTGTAATTTTGTAATGTAGTTTGTGTTTAGGTAATGTGATGCTTCCAACTTTGTTCCTTTCCCTCTAGATGGCTTTGGTTATTTGAGATCTTTTGTGGTTCCACATGAATTTTAGGACTGTTTTTTCTATTTCTGTAAAAAAAATGTCATTGGATTTTTGATAATGGTTGCATTGAATCACTTTGGATAGAATGGACATTTTAACAACATTAATCCTTCTGATCCGTGAACATGGAATATCTTTCGATTTATTTGTTTATTTCTTGAGTTTTTTCATCAATGTTTTATAGCTTTTGCATACAGATCTTTCTACTCCTTGGGTGAATTTATTCCTGCATGTTTTGTTTTCTGTAGTTATTGCAAATGGGCTTATTTTCTTGTAAACTTTTTTGGATAGTTTGTTGTTAATGTATAGAAACTTTGTTGTTGTTGTTGTTGTTGTTTTGATGATACCCATCCTAAGGGGTATGAAATGGCATCTGGTGTAGTTTTAGTTAGTATTTCCCTAATGATTCGTGATGCTGAATATCTTTTCATGCGTATGTTCTTTGGAGAAATGTCTGTTTCAGTACTTTGCCCATTTTTGAATTGAGTTTATTGTGATTGAGTTTTAGGAGTTGTCTGTATATTCTGGATGTTAATCCCTTACAGGTGGTGTGGTTTGAAAACATTTTCTCCCATTCTGTGGGTTGTCTTTTTACTTTGATAATATCGTCTTAAAAGTTCTTTTTCCTTGCCATGTGAAGTAACTGATGTTGTCTTTTGAGTCACAATATTTCAAAATTTTCATAAAGTCTAACTTGTTTATTTTTTCTGTAGTAGCCTGTGCCGTTGTTGTCACATCTAAAGAATCACTGCCAAATCCGATGTTGTGAAGTTTTCCTTTGTGTTTTCTTCTAAGACTTTAATTAAATTTTATTTGTCAATATTTAGGACTGACAAAAGCTTTTTAACATTCCTGGCACCATCTCAGTTATTGATCTACTCCCAAGATGGATCATTTCAATTAAAACATGTAAAGCATGACCTCACCTGAATGTGTTTGAACTTGCTCTTCTCCCTTTCAAATCGACTCCCTCACTTACATAGTTTGTGTTCAAATGTCAACAAATAAAACATAAAAAGAAATCAATCTTTTCATAGACCCTTTATCTAAAATAGAATAGTAGGTGCCATGACATTTCATCCTTTCATCTTGAATTATTTACTTTTCTACATGAACCAATCCATTCTTCTGTGTGCATGTGTGTGTGTGTGTGTGTGTGTAGTTTATCTGTCTACATATAATGTAAACACCAAAAAATAACAGACATTTAGTAATTTTCAAATGAGACTTCAGGAATTAACAATGGCTTGCCATTTTTAGTGTGTTATTATTATTATATTTAGATGAACAGAATTGCCTCAGGAACATGGCCAGGGGCTCATAGTCCAGGAGAACTGTGGCCTGACTCAGGTACATTTTACCTGCAATAACAGCAATTGCAGGTCACTGGAGTCCATCACAATTGGCTGGAGACAAATGTAAGACAAGAATATTTGCAGTTTCCCCAGACTGACACAGTTGCAGGTTCCCCGAAGTAATGAGTCCTGAGACACCTCCAACAAGAGCTAGAAAAGGTATCACTTCAAGAGGAGTTGCAGCCTACTCATTTTAGACAAATGGAGCAAAATTACAGTATCACATCTTTTCCTTTCTCCTTCATAGAATCTGGATGAACAGAACAGAAAGAGTTAATGGAATATAAGATTCCAATTCTCTGGCATGAGAAAATAGACAAGGAAAGGAAGATTCATCTTCATCACATCTCAGACATGCTTGGACACAGGGTCCAAGCACAAAAGAGAAACACATACTTCTTCCCATCCACACTGGGATCCAGGGTCTTCTCCCTCCTGTCAGGCCAGAACTGAGTCTCCACTCCCCAATTTAGTTCCCAGAGATGAAGCCCAATTTTCCTCTGTCTCAAGCTTTGAAGGCCAGCTTTAGCGTGTTCACCATGGATGAATGAAGGTGAGGTCAGAGGTTTGGGAAATGGTCAAGAATGAGGTGAGAAGAGAGCTGTGGAGGCATGGCCCCGGGGAGCTTGGTACCCCCCCATATCCAGAGCCTGTCTGGTCCAGGAGAGTTCCCAACCCTGTGAGCACCAACTCCGGATATTCTGGGCAGTGACCCGAGGGACAGCCTCTTATGAATACAGGCTGTTTTCCTCCAGTGTCTGCTGTGAAACCAGGATGTACAACATGGCCGTGTTCAACCCAACAATGGACTTAGGATTTTGCTGTACGCCAAAACTCAGTGTCCAACTTCCACTCTGTTTAGCTGGAAAAAGAAGGGGTTTGTTCCCATACATCTCACTCCTGTGTTCCTCTTTCAGTCTCAAAGCTCAGATGAAAACAATGAGTGTCACTTATTGTCAATCCTCTTCCCTGCCTTTTCCACACTCATCAGTATTACCGTTTACATTGAGACTAAAGATGGCCAATCACCACTTTTCTTCGGAAAAATCAACCTGATGTTGTACCTACTTTTTTAGAGGTGGAATCAACCTACCCTAAGATGCCAACTACATTTTACTGAATGGACTTTTGTGGATCCCCTCGATGTATATAGTGGCACCTTGAGGTATCATCCCTGTCTTTAGCAAATGAATATTATCCCAAGGACAATATTTCATCACAATTATTCGGGATGGACGAGTGGATATTGTGGTAGCAAGAACATTACTAAAAGTCACAGCTGATACAACACACTTGAAACCCATCTGGCCAATCTCCCACAGACAGAATGTCGCGCCATTCACTCCAGCCAGCTTCAGTCATGTTTCTTCCATTTCCACCTGTGGCCCCTCATGTCTCCACCAGGTCTTAGCCAGCATTGCCAAAAGAGCCAGGAAGACCAGACCAGCCACAACAATCCTGATGGAACTCTCCACAGTATAGTTCTGGAGAACAGGGGCTGGAGGGTGGGGGTAAGATCAGAGACCTTTCCATGTGGGCCAGGCCCCTCTCTCCCCAGAAGCTCTGAAATGGAGCTATTTCCCCATCTCACCTTCATAAAATTCTTCCTGTCCAGAACCCCTCTTCTCCCTATATCATCATGAGCACCTTCAGAAGTCTTTTGCCACAAAAAGAAATTTCTTTTGAAGATATACATTTTTTTGTACATTTCAAAAATGTTCCCAAACTAATTCTCCAAAGCAATAAATGTTTGTGTGTATTGCTGGGTAGGTTATGCATACAAGGAAAGGAAGCATAGTGAGTCTGATTTGGCAGAGGAAACATATGTGGAAATTATATCATTTACTCTCTTTACAAAATTAAGTACAAAATTGAAAACACTGGTAAGAAAGAATGAGCTATAGAGAAAGAAAACATCTGAGATGCTTGTTTCCAAGATGGCTGACTAAATGCTTTTCTGGCATGTCTCATCCACTTAGAAGAACGAGCAGAATCCAGAACAAAAACCATATGATCATCTCAATAGACATAAAGAAAAGCATCTGAAAAGAAATTCAACATCCTTACCTGATGAAAACCCTCAAAAACTTAGGCATAGAAAGAACATACCTCAAAATAATAAAAGCCATAGATGACATATCTAGAGTCAACATCATACTGAACAGGAAAAGTTAAAAGCACTCCTCTGAGAACTGGCACAAGACAAGGACACGGACATCCACCACTTCCTATCAACATAGTACTGGAAGCCTTGTCAGAGCTATTGGGCAACAGGAAGAAGTAAAAATCCAAATTAGAAAAGAGGAAGTAAAATTATTTTTATTTCTGATGCTATGATCTTAAATCTAGAAAATCCTAAAGACCCTGCCAAAAATTCTTATGATTGATAAATGAACTAAGTAAAGTTTCAGAATACAAAATCAATATGTAAAAGCCGGTAGCATTTCTCTACACCTATAATGATCTAGCTGAGAACCAAATCAAGAAGGCAATGCCGTTTACAATAGATACGCAAAATTAAAACACTCAGGAATACATTTAACCAAGGTGGTGAAAGATCTGTACCAGGAAAGGTGTAAGACACCAATGAAAGCAATTATAGATAATACAAAAAAAAAAAAGAAAAAAAATCCCACGCTCATGGATCATAAGAATTAATATTGTTAAAATGACCATACTGCCTAAAGCAATCTACAGATTCAGTGCAATTCTTATATGAAAATAGTAACACCAGTTTTCACAGAATTAGAAAAAGCAATCCTAAAATTCATACAGAACCAAAAAAGATCCTAATAGAGAAAGCAATTCTAGGTGAATGTAGAAACCTGGAGGCATCACGCTATCTGACTTCAAACTATGCTCTAAGGCTATAGTAACTTAAATAGCACAGTGCTGGTATAGACACAGAAACAGAGATCAATAGACCAGAATAGAGAGCCCAGAAATACAGCCTCATATCTACAGTGAATAATCATTGACGACGTTAACAAAACATACCCTGGAGAAAGATTTCCTTTTCAATAAAAGGTGCTGGGAAAACTAAATAGCCATATGCAGAAGAATAAAACTGGACCTGTATCTGTAATCATACACATAAATTAACTTAAGGTAATTAGCAGCTTAAATGTAAATCCAGAACTATAAAATCACCGGTGGAAACCCAAAGAGAAACTCTTCTGGGCATTGGTCTGGGCAAAGAATTCATCACTAAGACCTCAAAAGCACAGGCAATAAAAATAAAACTAGACCAATGGGACTTAATAAACGAAAGAGCTTCTGCCAAGCAAAGGAAATAGTAGCAGGGTGAACAGACAACCCACAGAATGAATGGAAATGTTTGCAAACTATGCACCCAACAGGGGACTAACATCCAGAATTTCTAGGCAACTCAAACAACTAAACATAACCCCTCAAATAATAGCATTAAAAAGTGGGCAAAGGGATATACATAGACATTTTTCAAAAGAAGACATACGAATGGCCAAACAGCGTATGAACATCACTAATCATCAGAGAAATGCAAATTGAAACCACAATGAGATATCATCTTACAGTAGTCAGAATGGCTATTACTAAAAATGCTGGTGGGGAGTGGTGGCTCACGCTTGTAATCCCAGCACTTTGGGAAGCTGAGGCGGGTGGATCATGAGGTCAGGAGTTTGAGACCAGCCTGACCAACATAGTGAAACCCCATCTCTACTAAATATACAAAAGATTAGCTGGGCATGGTGGTGTGGTTCTGTAATCCCAGCTACTCAGGAGGTTGAGGCAGGAGAATCATTTGAACCTGGTTGGTGGAGGTTGCAGCGCGTGGAGATGGCGGCACTGCACTCCAGCCTGGGTGACAGTGGAAGACTCCATCTCAAAAAGAAAAAAAGAAAAAGTGAAACATATAACAGGTGTTGGCAAGGATGCAGAGAAAAGGAAACTCTTATACACTGTTGGCCGGTATGTAAATTAGTATAGCCTCTATGGAAGACAGTATGGAAATTTGGCAGAGAACCAAAAATAGAAGCACCATTCGATCTAGGGGTCCCGCTGCTGGGTATCTACTCAAAAAATATCTGCACCTGTATGTTTATTGCAGCACTGTTTGCAATAGCAAAGATATGAAATCAATCTAAGTGTCTGTGAATGAATGATTGGATTAAAAAAAGGATGCGTGTATACACAACGAAATACTATTTGGTCATAAAAATAAAACCATGTCTTTTGCAGCAACATAGATGGAGCTGGACGCCATTATTTTACATAAAACCACTCAGAAAGACAAATACCACATCTTCTCACTCTACATGGGAGGGGAGTAATGTGTACATATGGACGTAGAGTGTGGAATGACGGACAGCGGAGGCTAGAAGGCTGGAGGGTGGCGGGACGTGGGTGAGTGATGAGAATTTGCTTAATGAGTACAATGTACGGTATTTGGGTGATGGATATAGTAAAAGTCCTGACTTCACTACTCTGCAACATACTCATGTCACAAAATTACAAGTGTACCTCATAAATTTATACTAATAGAAAAGAAAGTCTGTACACAGTAATCAATTGTGATATGTAGATAAAGTCAATATTAAATTTAAACCAGAATAACTAGTTAAAATGTTGTGTACACAACAGTGAAGAGAGTATTTATCCTCTATGACAGAGGAAACCATCAATATTAATGCACAGAAAAAGCAAATAACTGAAACAAGAAAGAGCAGTTTTGTGACAGGGTAAAAATTGACAACAGTTTTAGAATGCTCCTAACTTGAGTTCCAAAAAGAAAGAACGAGAAAACAGGTCAGAAGCAATCTTTAAAGAGGCAATTGTTGATTATTTGGAGGAAGTAGACACATCCATCAATCCACAGGTTCAAGAAATCCAGTGAATGCCAGGCAGAATGAAGTAAACACACCTCACGTTCAACATTACAGAAAAGCAGCATAAAAGCACAACCAACCCTTAAAATTAGCCAGAGGAAAAGGATCAGCTGGTAAGGATTTATAGGGAGCCAAGCATTGTCTTCCCCACAGAAAAAAGGAAAACATAAGCCAGTAGAATAGCATCTTTACCCAGCTAAGATACCGTCGCCAGCCACCGACAATTCCTTACATAGTACAGTTACTGTCCAAGATCAACGCAGGAAAGAAACAGAACTGAAAGACAAAAGGGCAAAGAAAGCTTTTCTCACTGACCCTAAAGGAAATTCTGATGACCGTGCCTCAAAGATAAAGAAAGTGAAACCAGATGGGGTGTCGAAGATTCTGACAATAACTAAGAGCAGAGGAAGAACTAAAAATATGGCTATGCCAAAAATGAATATGGACCATACGATAGTGTATGAAAACATGCCCCTGTGTAATTTCTGAAAAAGATAGAATTATGTATACCACAAAACAAAACATCATATAAGTAAATACAAACATATGTACTAAATATGCTCTAAAATCCTGTTCTTACACAGGAAGAGTGGAAATATGTTTTTATATTTGCAGTTTAATCTCTGAAATGATTAATTTCAATTTTAAAAATATGTAACAACTTCAGGATGAGTACACCATATATGTATTCCTAAACGACATAGATCAAAAATAGAATGTTTGAAATAGAAAACCACAGAAGTCAGTGGGAAAAAAAGGGAATCAGGAAAACACAACGTAATAATAACAAAAATATGATTGGAAGAACTGCTCAAACATGAACAAAAGATTGTCAGAAAGTCTTACTTTCTAAGGCGAATTGTTTGAAATTTACAAAGGACACATCTCAATGTTAACAATTCATGGAGTTTGAAATTAAACAATGTAGAAATATACCAAGCAATCACTGTTAGAAATGTGGTATAACTATATTAAAATTAGACAAAATTAGTCTTTGGGAAAAATCAGCGGAAAACATTAAGCATAAAATGTAGGAAAAAAGCAGGTAAATTTATAGCATTTTAAATTTACCAGGAATATATAATCAGTTTACACTTAACCACTCCCAGTAATATTCCTGCAAATATACATGGAGGAAGAGTCGCGGAAATAAATGGACAGGTAGGCAAATCCACGGCCACAGTGGGGTGTTTAACACTCCTCTTTTCTCAGTTGTTGATAGAAGTGGTTCAGGCAATTAGAGAGGATTTAGAAAGATAATTGCTGGACCTGACCCAAGGTATAAGTCCACTCCCAACCACAGGACTCACTTTCCTTACAAGCACAAGGGCATTTAGAAATCTCTCTGGATTCTGACCAGCCCTCACCATATGGCAGGTCCATGGACTTCTTGGAACACACCAAGCTCATTCTCACATTAGGGTCATCCCCAATGTCCTAAGTCCATGAAAGTTCCTTTCAACACACTCCCCAGGGCTCACTCCCTCTTGTCTCTAAGATCGGAGTTTAAATGTGATCTCTCTGATGAGGTCTCAGTGAGACGTTCCCTCCTGTACACTCCAAATGACAACGTTCCACGTTCATTCATTTCATTCTGTGCATGGCACTTTCACCAAGTGCTAAGGATTCACTCACTAATTCATACATTCATTCATTCATTCATTCACTCATTCCATCATTCACTCATTCATTCATTCTCTCATTCATTCATTCATGTTCTGCCTCTCTCTCCCACCCCACAGCAATGTGAGCATCATGAACCCAGGAGCTTGGCCGTGCTGTCTACTCCTGGCCATGAAACAGAGAGAACTGATGGTAGGTGTGAAATAAATATTAGATGAATGAGTTAGTGAAGGGGTCATTTACTGGGTGAGCTCAGTTCTCTCTACTCTAATGCCCTCCCTCGGCTGACTTCCCTGAGTTGCCCCCTCGGCTGAGTGAAGTCCCTTCACTGGCAAATGGAACCTCAACCAGTAGCACCTAGGTGGTCTCATACTTTGTTCTTTCCCTCTCCTCTTGCTCCCTAAGGATTATCAATCTCCATGACAGGGCTGGAGAGCAGACAAGCCACACATTCTTTCTGGGGAGAGAGTAACATGGAGTACAAGGCATTCCACATTTAGGAAGAGAACTCAGTTATGGAAGGTCAGAAATGAAAAGTTCCTACAGACCAACACCCAGGTTGGTGGCCACAGCCCTAAATGCTGATGGAGAATCACTGCAAGTCTGTAGGGAAGATGTCTGGCTTGAGGCCACTGAGCGAAGTGGCAGATCCTTCTCAGCCTTCAGTGCTGAGCCTCTGTCCCCTCAGGGATCCACTGACCAATGAGAAGAGCCTCTTCTCATCTCCTGGGATGGAGCTTGGGGCCCCTGGCGAAGGAATGGGCCTGTTTCCACCTGTCATGTTGTCATCTAGCTTGGAAATCCTGCGAGTCCCAGGGAGGCCCTCCCCGAGTCCCCAGAGAAGACTCCCCCACTGAGTCTCCAAGGTGTGGAGAGAGCAAAAAACATCTAGGGTGGAAAATGCCTCCCATCAAGAGACATTGGGGCTCCCCCAACGATGGTTGCATCTGTGCCCCCCATGTGGAAATCACTCTTTGGTGAGAGGTGGGGGCTTCTGGAAATGGGCAATGGCGGGCGGCCAATGCTACCTCTAGTCTTTCCAATCTGAGCCCGGCCTTTCATGCTCCTGAGTCAGCATTGATGCTGTTTACATGTGTCCCAGGTGGGCTTCTGTACAAAGACTGGGAAGTGGTTTATGTGGCCTGTGCTCTATCTGCAAGCTTCAGGTAGGGTTGCAGTTACCACCCCAAACCCTAATGTGATCTGTCTGCCTCGCTCTGTCTGTCTGTCTATGCCTCTTTCTGTATGTTTGCTTTGTGTCTCTTCTGTCCAGCATCTCTGGCTGACACCCCCATGGCCACCCCCTCCATCTGAGGCTCCCCTGAATGTGGCCATTGTAGTCCATCTGAGTCCCACTATTTGGGGAACAGACTGGTTTCCTCACCTGTGACAGAAACAAGCAGTGGGTCACTAAGGTCTGACCACTCGTAGGGAGAGTCACGGAAAGAGCCGAAGCATCTGTAGGTCCCTCCGTGGGTGGCAGGGCCCAGAGGAAAGTTGGCCTGGAAGGTTCCATTGACCTTGGGCACTGCAGGGAACCTAAGTTCATGAGCCTCCCCGTCCCTTGATAGATGGTAGATGTCATAGGAGCTCCGGGAGCTGCAGGACAAGGTCACGCTCTCTCCTGCCTTAACCATGGGGCGCGGCTGGGCTGAGAGAGAAGGTTTCCCACATAGACCTGGAAGGAGAAGAGGCAGTTTCCTCAGGGAGGTTCTTCCTTGTCACAACTCCCCTCCCACCTGAGCTGAGAACTCACTCCCCTGCTCTATGGCCTAATGCTCTCTCTCTCTGTCTCACCCTCCACACCATCTCTCTTTATGTCTATTTCCTCTTTCCACCTTCTCTGTCTCTCTAGGTCTCTGACCTCACTTTCTCACCTCTAGATATGTTTTCCCTTTTTGGATTGTTTTATTCTCTCTGACTCTCCTTGGACTAGTTGACTTGATGTTACTTTTTTTAAATTCTGAGTTTCTCACTTTGTGTCCTGTTCATAACTTTCTGCATATTTCTATCTATTATCTATCGATATATCTATTTATCTATCTGGTGCCTATCTACAAATTCTCTACCTGTCATCTATATCTATATATAATCTATTTATCTATCAATTGTCTATCCAAAAATCATCTATTATCTATATCTATGTATCATCTCTCTCTCTCTATGATTTCTCTTTGTCTGCCTCTCTATCTCTATGTATTATCTATCTATCTTCATCTTCATCATCTCTATGTATCATCGATTAATCAATGAATGAATCGATCATCATCTATGTATCTATAACCTATTATCTATCATCTACCTATTTATCATCTATCTATATCTATCCATCTATCATCTGTCTTGCTCTGCCTCTCGGTCTCTCTAGTTCTCTTTGGAATCTCTGCAATTCATCCCCACATCTCCATCTTTCTATGTCCTTGTGCCTCTCCCTCAGGACTCTAATTTTAGTGCTTTTCTCTGTTCCCTTCCATTGTTCTCTCCACTTCTCTGCCCTCTTTTCTCCCTCTTTATGTGTCTGTGAGTCTCTCAATCTCCTTCCTCTGGCTCATTCTCTGTGTGTTTATGTCTTTGCTTTTTGGTGTCCCTGATTTCTCTCTGTGTCTCTCAGTGATCCTCTCATATGTGGGGTTATTTGGAATGTGAGCCTCAGAATCCAGTCTGGGGACCGCAAGTTCACACAGTATACAGGGGTTGATGTTCTGGGGCCATGATATCCTGGGACGATTACTCTCCATTGCATGGAAGGCAGAGGTGTCAGAATAAACACGGCATCTGTAGGTGCCAGAAGGCCTGAGGCCACAGGGCCCAACTCAGGCCAGAAATATGGGTGTCCTTGGGTTCTTCTGGTAGAGAACACTTTGTGGAAGTAAAACAGAAATGAAACTTCTAACCTGTGCCAGGTCTCTGAGCAAAGTCAGCATGGAAGGACACCTCTCTCTGGCACATGTCTGTCTGTGTCTCCTTTAACTCTTTCTGTCTTTTCTAACTCCCTGTATGGCCCCTGTGTCTGTCCTCTGTTATGACACCTGGTCTGTACTTGTGTCTCCTGTTTCTCTGTCTCTGTTGGTACAGACCTCACCAAATTAGTCTCTCTCCATAAGAATACCAAGCTCATCTTCCTTATAACCACCTGGGCCTCCAAGTCGTGGATCATTCACTCTGTGTCCCAGTGACAATGAGAATAATGTCCAGACACTCTCACCTGTAATCACGATGTCCAGAGGGTCACTGGGAGCTGACAACTGATAGGGGGAATGAGGAACAGAACCGTAGCATCTGTAGGTCCCTGCAAGGTCTTGCGTCATGCGACCGATGGAGAAGTTGGCCTTGGAGACCCCATCATGGAGCTCTCCAGTGAGGCGCAAAGTGTCATTAAACTTCCCCTCTCTGTGCAGAAGGAAGTGCTCAAACATGACATCTGACCAACATTGCAGGATGACTGTCTCTTCTGATTTCACCAGGGGACCTGGGTGGGCCAGGAGGGAAGGTTTTCTGTGGACTCCTAGGAAGAGAGGTTGTGACTTTAGAAGGCATCTCTCTTTATCATCCCATCCATGGCACCTAGAATGAGTGAGGCTTCCCCTCGCTGGTGTCTTATCTCTCTCCTTCCTCTCTGTGTCTTCATGTTCTTTTCTGTGCCCATAACTCCTGGTACAGGTCCTTCCATCTGTCTCCCTCCCTCTTCTCTGTCCCTCTGTCTCTAGTAGCTCCTGATTCCCTTGCCGCTGGGCTCAGCCTCATCTCTTGGGCTGTTGTATCTATTTCGAACTAATGTCTTTCCTGCTTCTATGTGGGGGTGGAAGAGGAACCAGGATAGGCTGCACGTCCAGGCTCTTAGCAGACTGGTTCAATCTCTTTTGGACGAATTGGAATCCTTGGCAGAAGGTATGAACTGATCAGTAAGGCAGGCACCAGTGTCCACACACCCTGTTCCTGGTGGGGACTGGGAGCCACTCTTGCCATGCCTGTGCCTTCTCCATGGTGCCAGCTTCCATAGGCTGGCTTCTGGTGCTGGTTTGAGGAGTATCAACCCCTCCCTATGTGGATGGAGCCTGGTGGTGGCATCATCATCCCACCCTTGCTGATCTCGGTGTAGCCAACCTTCTCTTTGTTTGGTTTCTTTAATTAATTAATTAATTTTGGAGTCAGAGTCTCACTCCTTCACCCAGGCTGGAGTGAAGTGGTGTGGTCTAGGCTCACTGCAACCTCTGTCTCCTGGGTTCAAGTGATTCTCCTGCCCTCAGCCTCCTGAGTTGCTAGGATTACATGCACCTGCCACCACGCCCGGCTATCCTTGTGTCCTTTCTTATCTTGTCCTTGACCTGGGTTCCAGTGTTGGTTTCCTGTTGGTGCTGTAGAAAATTATCAGAAGCATGGCAGCAGGAGAGAGCACACTGACCCCTTCCGTTTCTGGAGACAGAAATCGGACCCTGTTTTTTGAGGGCTAAAATCAAGGCATCTGCAGGGCTGCGTTCCCTCTGGAGACCCAGGAGAATCAGTTCCTTGACTTTTCCAGCCTCTATAGGCCACCTGCATTCATGGCTCATGGCCTTCCTCCACCTTCAAAGCTGATGGAGACTTCCATTGCACTGCTCTAATCGCCACTCCCCTCTTCCTTCTCCTCTCATGTGCACCCTTGTGATTACACTGAGCCCAGCAGGACAGTCCAGGCTGTCTCCCCATCTCAAGGTCAACTCAACAACCTGAGCTCCATCTTCCCCTTCAGTGCCTTCCCCTATAACATAAATAGTCACAGACTGCAGGGATTAGAATGCAGTCATCATTGGGGACAATTATTCTTTCCACCACAGCACCCATTTCCCTGTATTCAATCCCCTTTTACCCCAAATACAGTTAGGGTCTGGATGATGGGACGCTGGTGGACACTCCCACCAGAAGCTCTGGGACTCAGGAGGTGGGACAAGGAGAATCCCAGACAGGAGCCCTCTGACCTGTGACCATGATCACCAGGGGGTTGCTGGGTGCTGACCACCCAGTGAGGAAGTGTGGGTGTGAACCCCGACATCTGTAGGTCCCTGCATGTGCTGGGGTCACAGGGCCTATGAAAACGGTGTTTCGGAATACTCTGTTGTAGAGCTCAGGGACAGGCATCCCGTCTTCTTTGGACAGACTGAATTCGTTAAACCCAAGACGAGAGCGACACTGAAGAGCCACATGTTCTCCTTCAGACACCACAGGGCTGGGCCAGGCAGAGAGGAAGGGCTTGTCCTGACCACCTGGGGGAGAAGGAGGCGCCACCTTAGAGAGGAGGATGTGGAGCCGCCCCTCCCTCCACGTGTCAGAAGATTCTCCCATTTCCACTTTCTAAGGCTCCTACCACACCTGGGTGCCCAGGGCTACAGGAAGGACCCACCCCGCATAGACTTGGCGTCTCTCTACAACAAAAGTGTCAGCTGAGAACTTTGAGCAAGTGCTGAGTAAGGGACTCCTACTAGATTTTAATCCTGCAAGATTACTCACATAAAACAACACAAATAGACATGGAGTCGAGGGCATGTTCTTTGTGAATGGAATATCAGCCAATGTGTGAACCACAATACACAACTGAGCCCCCAACAGAGGATTTGGAAGGTCAGGGCCCTGGCTGGGGTTCCCCCACCTCTGAGGTAGAATGACAGCAGCCACACTGCAGCCCCTACCGTCATGGAAACGCTGGAGGGTGTGAGTTACACCTTTGTCCTCAGAGGCCTGCTGTTCCTAGCACTGCTTTGCTCCCTTCCTCTGCCAGTGACACCACATCCCAGCCGCACAGCCCAGCTTGGAGGACCCCAGTCTACCCTCCCGGGTTCCCACAGAACCTGACTCAGCCAAGGGAAAGGAAGGCTGGGGAGGGCAAGGTCGGAACTGTGGGCTGAGCACCCCAGGGTCTCCTCATCCTTGTTTATAAGAAAATCCCCCACCGGGCTTCCCTCCTGTTTCAGGAAAATCCTCTTATGTGGGGAGATGACACCCTAAGGTTTGGAGAAGGACTCACCCTCATGTGGCCAGGCCCCCTGCAGCAAGAAGAACCCTGGAAAGAAAGATCATGATGGACCATCCATCTGCAGGCAAACCAGGACTCCCTTGCTGCCCCCACTGGGCTGTGAGTCTTGGTAGCCAGGCCCTTGCTGGGCTGAAGGGAAACTCACCCTCAGTGCCAGCCTGCACCCAAGAACAGGGCTGTCGGCTGTGTAGAGACCCAGCCTGCAGGCCCATATCCGCACCCCAGGCCCCTATCCCCACCCCAAGCCCATATCTCCACTCCAGGCCCATATCTCCACTCCAGGCCAATATTTCCACCCTAGACCCATATCTCCAATCCAGGCCCATATCTCCACCCCAAGCCCATATCTCCACACCCAGGCCCATATCTCCATCCTAGGCCCATATGTCCACTCCAGGCCCAGATATCCACCTCTAGGCCCATGTCTCCACCTCCAGGCCCATATCTCCACCTCCAGGCCCATGTCTCCACTCCAGGCCCATATCTCCATCCCAGGCCAATATCTTCACTCCAGGCTCATATCTCCCCTCCAGGTTCCTATCTCCACTCCAGGCCCAGATCTCCACTCCAGGCCCATATCTCCACCTCCAGGCCCATATCTCCACTCCAGACCCAGATCTCCACTTCTAGGCCCATCACTCCATCTCCAGGCCCATATATCCACTCCAGGCCCAGATCTCCACTCCAGGCCCATAACTCCACCTCCAGGCCTATATCTCCACCTCTGGGCCCAGATCTCCATCCCCGCGCTCCCTCCCTCTATTCCTTTCCAGGACTCACCAACACACGCCATGCTGACGACCATGAGCGACATGGTGCTGCCGGTGCAGACAGGCAGCCGCGCCCCAGCTCAGCTCAGCAGCGCACAGGATGTTATTTGGCGCCCTGCCCATGCAGCTTACATGTTGACTACATCATGGGAGGGTGACGTACGCAGGCTCTTTCTACCTTGCATGAGGCCCAGTGGATGCTTGCTCAAGAGCGGAACACGGCTTCCTGGAAATTGTTCTCACTAGAATTGGCACCTCACGTCCTTCACTATGACCAACTCACAACACGTCTCAGATCCAACCTCCCGAACACAAGATGCCTAAAATCTGTGCTAACGTGAAAGACTTTTCATGTATTTTTATCCGAACACGAGATGCCTAAAATCTGTGCTAACATGAAAGACTTTTCATGTATTTTTTTTGTTTTTATCTGAGATTCAAACTCTTCTTCCTGTGTAATATGCAAAGTATCTAATAGGTATTATTAATGTTTTCGGAGTCATTGTGACTAATAAACCATTAGAATTTTTCATGCTTGTATTTCTAGTATTACAGCAGAACCAGCTAAAATGATTTAAATTCCCAGGGAAGGATTATGCAATTATTTACAATCTTAGAATTGTACTTTATCAGCAAAAACCACACCTGTAAATTCTGGAGTTTTGTAGTTTAATCTAAAATTTGTCTCATGACCCAAGATTCCAGAGTCCCAACTCTGGAGTTTGCTCTCTGTCTGTCTCTCTCCCTCCCTCGTTTTAAATTTTACAGAAATATCCAGTAACATAATGCTATAGAAAATCAAGTTTTCCCCAGCACGTTGGGAAGCCGAGGTGGGCGGATCAACTGAGATAAGGAGTTTGAGAGCAGCTTGGCCAATATAGTGAAACCGTGTCTCTGTTAAAAATCCAAAAATTAGCCGTGCCTGGTGGCAGGCACCTGTAACGCCAGCTGCTCAAGAGGCTGAGGCACGAGAATCGCTTGAACCTGGGAGGCGGAGGTTGCAGTGAGCTGAGATTGTGTCACTGCAGTCCAGCCTGGGCGACAGAGCAAGACTCCGCCTCAAGAAAAAAAAAGCAAACAGCCTATAATAACAAATTAGAGGGCTCTGGCTACTAAATTTAAAGGGTTCTATAAGGCTACATAAAGTGCAGCATCATCAAGAGTGTGGACACAGAGAGCCCCTTAGCAGAAACAGTGTCTAAAATACATCCATGTACACACAGTCCCTTTAGAGTTGACAAAGGCTGCCGTGTGGTTTAAGGTGGCATAGAATGTCTTCTCAATAAATAATATTAAACCAATTGGTTACACCTAGGAAAAAATAAATCTAACTCACACTATAAAAACACTTCTTAGTTTTTATCTAGTTGTACATTTTTTATGATTTATATTTAAATTTGAGAAATAAAAGTCATATACGGTCATCCTTCACTATTCGTGGGTGATTGGTTTTGAGATCTCCACTCAGATACCAAAATCTGTAGATGCTCAAGCCTCTTATATGAAATGGCACAGAGTTTGCAAATAACCTATGCACATCCTCCTGTATACATGAAATCATCTCTAGATTACTTATAATTCCTGATACAGCCTACACACAGCTTCATTTGTGTCCATTCAACATAGTTATGCTTTTTGAAACTCTGTGGATACTTTCTCTCAATATTTTTGATTTATACTTGGTTCAATAAACACCTGTAAACCCCGCAGATATGGAGGAGTGACCGTATATTTATATTATGAAAGATGATGTGTTGATATGTGTCCCCATGGAGATGAGACTAACAAGGCCTATGATTCTACAAATGTTTCATTGTGGAATGACTCTGCCAGCTTTCCAGGTCTGCAGAGAGTAAGAGTATCACTTGTTCATATGATTCGTGATCCTTGGAACCTCCTATGTGCTACATCTTTGGATGGAAATTGGAGTCTCAGAGACAAATGAGGCTCCACCCTGCTTCCAGAAACTCAGAGTCCGGGGATGAGAACTCAGTGGGGAACAGATGGGATTATATGGACATGGTACTGATAACACCGGAAGCCTTAGGCAAGAAAAGAGTCCCATTACCGAAACCATGGGGGCAGACATGTTTATTTGAAGGATGGAAAACTACATTGAAGTTATTTTAAAAAATATATAAGTTTTACTGCTGACAGAAGACTGAAAGCTAGTCTGAGGGGAGGTGGAACAGCATGAGGGAAGGTGGAACAACACGTGTCTAAGTGCTGCGTTAAGAGGGAGCCTCTTGTATGTTTGGAATTGTGAGTTCCTCAGTGTGATTGCAGCCTCAAGTAGACTAGGAAGTAAGCCAGTTAGGTTGGAGAGGTGGGCAGGGGTCAAGTGAAATGGAGAACTGTGGGCTAAGCAAAGGAGTGTGTTTTTTCTCCAGCAGGCAGTGGGGACCTTAGACATTTGTAAGCAAGTGAGAGGCACATTCAGATTTGTGGTGTGAGGAAGAGCGATGCCCTAAGATGCAGACTCATGCCTTCAGATTCCAGCTGCTGGTACATGGGAGCTGGCAACCCGGTTTTGAGACAGGGCTGTTGTCTCCCTAGAAGACGCCCTCAAGGCCTGACTGTGGTGCTCATGGGCAGGAGACAACTTTGGATCTGGACTCAGCATTTGGAAGTTCCGTGTACACGATGATATCTGTTGGGGGTGTCTTGGGCCTCTGAGAAGGGCGAGTGATTTTTCTCTGTGTGAAAACGCAGTGATTCAACTGTGTGTATGTCACCTCCTGAGGGTCTTGTTCATCAGAGTCCTGGAGAGAGGGAAATGCTGAGTGAGGGAGGGTGCTCACATTTTCCAGGACTCTTTGGGAATAACAGTAGCCACGAGCCCGGGCCGAGGAGTACCTACCTCGCTATTCGCTGTTCTGTTCCCTGCAGACTCTTGGTCCATTACCGCAGCATCTGTAGGAGACGGAAGTCAACAAAACAGCTCGGAGGGCACTTCTGGGTCCTCATTTCATAAGCAGATACCAACATACAGGGGGAGACCATAGGTGGCTGAGGTCCCTCAGTTGCCAACAGCAGACTCAGACATTCTATCTCTCTGAGCTCAAGGACCCATCCCATGAATAGCTCTGAGTTCCCATCCCATTGATTCTGTCTCCCACTTTCTGCCTGTCATGGAACCTTCTCCTGGATGTGAGTGGCTGCAGGGGACATGAGGATACAGTTCAGAATCAGGCAACGGTCTGTGAGTTGAAGGCAGGGGCAGGGAGTCTGGTGCCCTCTCTAGAAAGTCCTGCCTCTGTGGCTGCTGCCTTGGGCCAGGGACCATCCTGTTTGTGAGGAACACACACCTGAGTGCTCCCATCCTGCTTCCCCACATGGCCCTGAGCTCTCTGGCCTCTGCTTCGTGAGACTTACTTTTTTTGTTGGAGCACCAGCGATGAAGGAGAAAGAAGAGGAGGATGAAGAGGATGATGACCACTGAGGTCCCAATCAGAATGTGCAGGTGTCGGGGGTTACCTGGAAGAAGATGAGACACCAATAAGAAGCTAATCTTAGCAGTTCCTCTTTATGAATTGTCTCGCATTTCTTGATTGACAGGTAACCACATAAAACATCTCTTTAGGACAAGCACCCAGATGGCAGGAGACCCAGCTTTCTCCTGCTTTTTCAGTTATAGCTCTCATAGTAACCATAGAACGTGCTGAGGATACGACTACTTTAGTTGAGATGTTTGACCCCTTCAAACCTCACATTGAAATTTCACCCCCACTGTGGGAGGTTGGGCCTCTTGAGAGGTGTTTGGGTCATGGAGGTGGATCCATCATGAACACATCAATGCTGTCCCAAGGAGACGGGGTTAGCAAGTTCCCCCTCTATTAGTTCCCGGAGAGCTGGTTGTTAAAAAGAGCTTGGAAGCTCCATCACTCCCCCTCCCCCTTGCTCCCTCTCTTGCCGTGTGATCTCTGTGGTCTCTGCACAGACAGACCCTCCTTCCCTTCTGCCAGAGTGGGAGCAGCCTGAGGCCGTCACGAGAAATAGATGCTGGTGCCATGCTTCCAGTACAGCCTGCAGAACGGTGAGGCAAACCAATCTCTTTTCTTTAGAAGTTACCGAGGCTCAAGTGTTCCTTTAGAGCAACAAAAATGGCCTAAGACAGCAACTTCCTGAGATCAGGAGGAACGTCTCAGAACACCCTGGGCTGTCTTCCTGTTCTTCCTGGAGGACGTCATGCAGTGCTTTAGCTGAGTGCTTCCTGTGGCTCCAGGGTACAAAACCCAGGCTGGGCTGCTTTCTGGCTTCCCGCAGCTACACTGCAAATGGGGTGACTCCATATGTCCCGAGGAGCTTTTCTGAGCCTTGAGGGACTGGCTCACATTGAAATATAGGTTTCTGTTGTCACTCGCTGCTTATCTGTTAGTAATGAACCTGCCTATGTAACGTATTCTCTGTGTGTTCTGTCTCCCTGGAGTGACGGTGAGTGATAGGAATTGGCATAGGCCCAGGTGCAGTCCAGGAGGTGTTTAGAGTCTTCTCTGGGAAGACTGGACTGGGATTGATTCACAGCGAATGTGCTTTAGGGTTTCTACATCCACAGCATTCTTGAATCAAACAACTTGCATTCTCCAAGGAAAGAAAACAAAAGTGAAATCAAGATAAAAAAAGCGAAATAGAATTCTCTTATGTCAAACGGCCAGGAAATAGTGTTGAAGCCCGTGTGAAACCTGCTGCTCTTTGTGATCTCGGGAGACACATATTAGGCTGCTGTTCTACCCGAGAGGCTGGGGGAAGGACCACCCCCTCGGCCATCTATTGCTTCAATACCACCTGTCCTCCTGTGAATTAGTAGGAAAGGGGAGCAGGAGCTAGTGCTGTCGCTGATCTCTGATTCCAAGATCTGGACTCACTCCAAGGAGTGTTAATGTTTACCTCCCCATGGTCTACCTGAATCTCCACAGGTGATTGGAAGTAGGGGTGAGGTGGGGGATTTGGGTGAGTGGGCAAGTTTTTTTTGTGATGACCAGAGCACTTTCTCTATTCCAGGATCTGTGCTGGAGGATTCAGCGGACTTTCACATTTTCTATATGATCTCATGCTCACAGAAAGCCAAATAGGGAAGAGGTTTTAGGCTCATTGCCTAATGGATAAGATAAAGGATCAAAGAAGTAATTATAGAGAAATAGAAAAATCATGATTGGAATTCAGGTCCCTTTGTCATTTGCGTGTGTTATATTATATTTATATTTATGCATTTCTTATTTTTATTTTTTGAGACGGAGTCTCCTTGTGCCACCCAGGCTGGAGTGCAGTGATGCAACCTCCACTCACTGCAACCTCCACCTCCTGGGTTGAAGTCATTCTCCTGCTTCATCCTCCAGAGTAGGAGCTGGGATTACAGGGATGCACCACCATGCTCGGCTAATTTTTGTGTTTTTCCTAGAGACAGGGTTTCACCATGTTGGCCAGGCTGGTCTCGAACTGCTGACTTCATGTGATCCACCCGCCTTGGCCTCCTGCAGTGCTGGGTTACAGGCGTGAGCCACCGTTCACAGACTTGTATATTATGCTATAATAGGTCTCTTCATTTCCACCACCCCTCATATATCTGTCACTCCTTTGCCAGGTATTGATTTATGTGTAGGATGAATAAATCTCAGAAAGAAATTAATTAAGCGAGGATTAAACAAGTAGGAAAATCAAACCCAGCAAGCCTTTCCAGTCAATGATTCTACCTCACAAACCTATCTTATATCCATCTACTTCATTCATTTAGTGTCTAAATCAGCACCACATTTCACCAGTGGGGCGGCAATTGCCTTTTCCACGGTCTCCTAGATTCCAGTTATGCAACTGAGCCTCCCTTATTTTCATGTCAGTCATATTAATCATGTAGGGATTCCTGGCTACCCCGAGGTGAATCCAATGGCTGTGAGTGTCAAACACACACTCCTTGTTCCTCCTTAGTTTCCTGTGTACCCAGTGTGCTCTCCGTCTCTCCACAGTCATCTTGTCATTCTCCCCACATCATTCCCAGCATTTGAGGAAGAGCCTCTTCCTTCCACATCAGATTGTTTTCACCTTTGTGCCTTCACGGCTGACAGCTGTGTGTGCAAAATCCTTCCGCCAATCTTTCAGGGGTTCAATCCGTGTTTTTCATTAATGTCACAAATATCTGAATAGTGAGACCTTCTTTGTCACCTGAAATCATACACTCAGCATTATCTATTATTGATTTTGAATTCTGGCTGGGCACAGTGGCTCACGCCTGTAGTCCCATTACTTTGGCATGCTGAGACGGTCGGATCACTTGAGGTTGGGAGTTTCAGACAAGCTTGGCCAACGTGGTGAAACATCCTCTCTACAAAAAATATACAAAAAGAATTAGCCGGGCACGGTGGCAGTTGCCTGTAATCCCAGCTACTCGAGAGGCGGAGGCAGGAGAATCACTTGAATCCAGGAGAAGCAGGTTGCAGTGAGCCAAGATCGTGACACTGCACTGTAGCCTGGAAGACAGAGGGCAACTCTGTCTCAATAAACAAAAGAACAAACAAAAAATAGATTTCATGCACAGATGCTTCCCAATGGATCATTCATTTATAGATCCACTTGTGCATTCATTTTCTGCCCTCCCATTTAACCATCTGCAATATCAGTGTCCCAAGGGCAGAGGCCAAATGCATCTTGTTCACTGTTTGTGGAAGGCAGGAGAATGCTGTCCCACCCCAAAATGTCCCTGTCCTAGCCTCCATACCTTGTGAATATGTTATTTTACATGGAAAGGAGGAATGAAGATTGTAGATGGAATTACGGTTGCTAATCAGCTGAACTTAAAACAAGGGTATCCTGGATGATTTCCAGGAGATTATGAGGGATTTTCATCTTGGTGAACCCAATAGAATCCCCAAGTTTTCAAAAGATAAGGAAGAAGGGAGAGCAGCATTCAGAGAAAGAGGTGTGGTAAGGAAGAAGGCACTGAGTGATGCCATGTGAGATGTGACCAGTCTTTGTGGGTTTTGAGGAAGGAGGAAGGGGACCAGGAGCCAAGGAACTGGGAGCCTTTAGAAGCTGGGACAAGTGAGAAGCAGATTCTTGCCTGGAATCCTCAGAGGGAAGGCAGCCTTGCTGTCACCTTGATTTTAGCCCAGTAAGATGCACTTCCTACTTTGAGCTACAGCACTGTAAGATAATTAAAAAACCGTTTTGTTTTCACCCACGAATCTTGTGGAAATTTGTTATGGCAACAATAGGAAAAGGTTCCGCACTGCACAGCCTGAGCATGGGGCCGTGGCTGAATGAGTCAGTGAGTCGAAGTGTGCGTGCATGAGCTCCGTTCTCTGTTACGGCAAGGCTGTTGCTCTGCTGAGTCAGCCAGGGTTGCTTCATGACCAACAGTAATTCATTCCTTGGCAAGTGGAACTTCTCTAAAACACCTCGCCCTCATCAGATGTTCCCTTCCCTTCCCTCTCTCAAGCCCCCAGGAATTTATCCTCCAGTTAGGAATGCAGGCAGAACAAACATTGCATTTTTCCTGAGAAGGATGTCAGATTGGCAATCATTCTTCTAGCTTGTAGGAGGTCTCAGCTCCATAAAATGAGAGATTAAGAGATTTCACTGAGCCCTAGGTTGGGCCCAGATCCCTTTCGCTGTTGGAGTATCTGGAGTTCGGAGATGGTAGAAGACAGGCGTACAATGTCAGAGCTGCGAGATGCTGAGTCAATGCCTGCATCGAAGGTTTCTACCTCCCCAGGTTTCCAAAAGCGGATATAAGAGGGTTCTGTACTCACCGGTTTTAGAGCTTGGTTCAGTGGGTGAAGGCCAACTATTTGAAGGGTTTCCTAGAACATGAGACAGGAGAGAGGTGAGGAAATGAGGGTGTCTGTCCTCTACTCAATGGAAATCTTTGAGGTTGGTTCATGGCCAACACTCTGTTATCTAATATTGGGCCCTGGGAGTCCTGGGATCCTTTTTTCCATAATTTTTGTATGTGACGCCCATTGTCTTGAGACTTCAAGGTATAAAGAGAAAACAGGAGCATCACACTACCTGATCTCAAAATATGTTACAGAGCTGTAGTAAGCAAGACAGCATGATGTTGGCATGAAGAAAGGCACATAGAACAATGGAGCAGAATGAACAACACAAATATAATCCATGCATTTACATCCAATGTTTTTTTCTTTTTTCTTTTGAGATGGAGTCTCGCTCTGTCACCCAGGCTGGAGTGCAGAGGTGCAATCTCGGTTCACTGCCACCACAGCCTCCTGGGTTCAATCAATTCTCTGGCCTCAAACTCCTGAGTAGTGGTATTATAGGTGCTGACCACCATGCTCAGCTAATTTATATATTTTTAGTGGAGACAATGTTTCATCACGTCGGCCAGACTAATCTTGAACTCCTGGCCTCAGGTGATCCACCCGCCTTGGGCTCCCAAAGTGCTGAAATTGCAGGTGTCAGTCACCATGCCCAGCCCATCCAATGGACTTTGACAAAGGTGCCAAGAACTCACAATCAGGAAAGGACAGTCTTTTCAATAAACAGTGCAGGGAAACCTGGACATCTACATGCAGAGGAATGAAACTGCACCTCTACCTGTCACCATACACAAAAATCAAATGAAAATGGATTAAAGATGTGAGTCTAAGGCCTGAACCTATGAAACACGTAGAAGAAAATATTGGGGAAATGCTCCAGGACATTTGTCTGAAGGAAGACATTTTGTTTTAAACCTTCAAAACACAAGTAATCGAAGCAAAAATAGACCATTGGGATTACCTCAAGCTAAGCAACTTCTGCACCGCTAAAAATAAACCAACAAAGTGAAGAGACAACCCACAGATTGGGAGCAAATATGTGCAAACTATGCATCTGAGATGGGATTAATAACTAGAAATATAAGAAGCTCAAACAACTCAATAAAACAAATGATTTAATTGAAACAGGAGCAAAAGACATGAAATTTCCCCACATACGAAAAACTGCTCAGTATCACTCATCATCAGAGAAACGCAAATTAAAATCAAAGTGAGTTTTCATCTCACCCCATTAAAATGGCTTTTAGGCCGGGCGTGGTGGCTCACGTCTGTCATCCTAGATCTTTGAGAGCCTGAGGTGGGTGAATCTCATAAGGTCGGGAGTTTGAGACCAGTCTGACCCACATGGAGAAACACTGTCTCTACTAAAAATACAAAAATTAGTCGGGCGTGGTGGCGTGTGCCTGTAATTCCAGCTACTCGGGAGGCTGAGGCAGGAGAATCGCTTGAACCTGGGAGGTGGAGGTTGTGGTGAGCCGAGATCGCACCACTGCACTCCAGCCTGGGTGACAAGAGCGAAACTCCATCTCAAAATAAAATGAAATAAAGTAAAATGGCTTTTAGCTGCAAGACAGGCAAAGGAAATCCTGCCAAAGTGGTAGAGAAAGGAGAACCCTAATACCCTGTTGGTAGGAGTGTAAATTAGTACAGCCTTTACGGAGAAAAGTGTGGAAGTCCTTTAAAGAACTAAAAAGAGGTTGGGTGAGGTGGATCATGCCTGTAATCCCGGCACTTTGGGAGACCGAGGCGGACACCTCAGTTGAGGTCATGAGTTTGAGAGCAGCCCAGCCAACATGGGGAAACCCCATCTATACTAAAAAAACCAAAAAGTAGCCAGGCATGGTGGCGTGCACCTGTAATCCCAGCTACTAGGGAGGCTGAGGTAGGAAAATCATTTGAACCCAGGAGGCAGAGGTTGCAATGAGCCAAGATGACATCACTTGTACTCCAGCCTGGGCACAGAGGGAAACTGTCTCAAAAACAAAAACAAAACAACAAACGAATAACTAAAAAGAGAACTTTCATAGTATCCAGCAATTTCACTACTGGGTTTATATCCAAAGGAAAGTAAATCAATATATCGAAGTGATATCTGCACTCGTATGATTGGTGCAGCACTGTTCACAGTAGCCAAGATGTGGAGTCAACCTACCTGCCCATCAGTGGATGAATGGATAGAGAGAATGTAGTACATACGCACAGTGGAGACTACTCATCCATAGAAAGAATAACATCCTGATATTTGCAGCCACATGGATGGAACTGGAAGTCATTACAAAGATTCCCATTTCTCACCCATATACAGAGCTAAAAGGTGGATCTCATGAAGGTAGAGAGTAGAATGGTGGCTTCCAGAGGCCAGGAAGAAAAGGGTGGAGGGTAAAAAAAAAAAAAATATATATATATATATATATATATATATATATATATATATATATACACATATATATATGTATATATATGTGTGTGTATATATATATACATACATATATATATATATATATATTTATAAATGTATTTATGACCACTAGACTTTACACTTAAAAATGGTAAATGTGGCTGGGAGTGGTGGCTCATGCCTGTAATCCCAGCACTTTGGGAGGCAGATGCGGGTGGATCACGTGGTCAGGAGTTGGAGACCAGCTCGACCAACATGGTGAAACCACCTCTCTACTAAAAATACAAAAAGTAGCCTGGCGTGGTGGTGCGCGCCTGTAGCACCAGCTACTCAGGTGGCTGAGGCAGGAGAATCACTTGAACCCAGGAGGCGGAAGTTGCAGTGAGCTGAGATTGTGCCACTGCACTGCAGCATAGGGGACAGAGCTAGACTCTGCCTCAAAAAAAAAAAAAATGTTAAAGGTGGTAAGCTATATAGGTATATTTATCCTCAATAAATATTTCTTCAAACAAAAGTAAAGGGTGTAGGGGTTGCTGGTGATGACATCCCTGTGTGGGTGAGAGGCCAGGATGGGCTTCTGGGAAATGGGTAATGTTGAGGGGCTGAGGGAACCTCTGATCTTCCCAAACTGAGCCCAGTCTCCCTCCTCTGGGTCTCTCCTGACCGCTTTCTCCATCTGCCTGTGTGCCTGGAGCCCTGGCCGCGGGCCTTCATGCAGGCCGTGTAGGAGGGTTTGGAGGTGCCCTGTCTGCCATCCTGTGCCCTGATCCCTCCCTCACACCCAAGCTTCGTCTTCTCTCTGCATCTGTCCATGCTTATCTCCATCATCAGCAGGAAGCTCCTCAGCTAAGGCTCTAGGATCATAGGACATGAGACAGATATGGGGTTTCCTCACCTGTGACAGAAACAAGCAGTGGGTCACTCGAGTTTGACCACTCGTATGGAGAGTCACGGAAAGAGCCGAAGCATCTGTAGGTTCCTCCGTGGGTGGCAGGGCCCAGAGGAAAGTCGGCCTGGAATGTTCCGTTGACCTTGGGCCCTGCAGAGAACCTACATTCATGGGCCTCCCCCTCCCTGGATAGATGGTACATGTCATAGGAGCTCCGGGAGCTGCAGGACAAGGTCACGCTCTCTCCTGCCAGAACCGTGGGGCCCGGCTGGGCTGAGAGAGAAGGTTTCTCATATAGACCTGGAAGGAGAAGAGGCATTTTCCTCAGGGAGGATCTTCCTTGTCACAGCTCCCTTCACCTGAGCTGAGAACTCACTCCCCTGCTCTATGACCTAATGCTCTCTCTCTCTCTCTCTCACCCTCCACCCCATCTCTCTTCATGTCTATTTCCTTCTTCCACCTTCTCTGTCTCTCTAGGTCTCTGACCTCGCTTCCCCACCTCTAGATATGTTTTCCGTTTTTGGATTGTTTTATTCTCTCTGACTCTCCTTGGATTGGTTGACTTGATGTTACTTTTTTAAATTCTAAGTTTCTCACGTTGTGTCCTGTTCATAACTTTCTGCATATTTCTATCTATTATCTGTCGATCTATCTATTTATCTATTCGGTGCCTATCTACAAATTCTCTACCTGTCATCTATATCTATATATCATCTATGTATCTATCAGTTGTCTATCTATCCATCAATCATCTGTTATTTATATGTATGTATCATCTCTCTCTCTATGATTTCTGTCTGCCTCTCTATCTGTACGTATTATCTGTCTTCATCATCATCATCTCTATGTATTATCTATTAATGAATCAATCAATCATCATCTATGTATCTTTAACCTATTATCTATCATCTACCTATTTATCATCTATCTATATCTATCCATCTATCATCTGTATTGCTCTGCCTCTCGGTCTCTCTAGCTCTCTTTGGAATCTCTGCAATTCATCCCCACATCTCCATGTTTCTATGTCCTTGTGCCTCTCTCTCAGGACTCTAATTTTAGTGCTTTTCTCTGCTCCCTGCCATCATTCTCACCACTCCTCTGCCCTCTTTTCTCTCTCTTTATGTGTCTGTGAGTCTCTCAATCTCCTTCCTCTGGCTCATTCTCCGTGTGTTTATGTCTTTGCTTTTTGGTGTTCCTGATTTTTCTCTGTGCCTCTCAGTGATCCTTTCATATGTGGGGTTATTTGGAATGTGAGCCTCAGAATCCAGTCTGGAGACCACAAGTTCACACAGCATACAGGGGTTGGTGTTCTGGGGCCATGATATCCTGGGACGGTTACTCTCCATTACATGGAAGGCAGAGGTGTCAGAATAAACATGGCCTGTAGGTGCCACAAGGCCTGAGGCCACAGGGCCCAACTCAGGTCAGAAATATGGGTGTCCTTGGGTTCTCCTGGTAGAGAACACTTTGTGGAGGTAAAACAGAAATGAAACTTCTAACCTGTGCCAGGTCTGTGAGCAAAGTCAGCATGGAGGGACACCTCTCTCTGGGACATGTCTGTCTGTCTGTCTCTTTTAACTCTTTCTGTCTTTTCTAACTCCCTGTATGGCCCCTGTGTCTGTCCTCCGTTATGACACCTGGTCTGTACTTGTGTCTCCTGTTTCTCTGTCTCTGTTGGTACAAACCTCAGCAAGTCAGTCTCTCTCCATAAGAATACCAAGCTCATCTTCCTTACAACTACCTGGGGGTTCCAAGTCGTGGATCATTCACTCTGCAGCCCAATGACAATGAGAATGTCCGGACACTCTCACCTGTGATGACGATGTCCAGAGGGTCACTGGGAGCTGACAACTGATAGGGGGAGTGAGTAACAGAACCGTAGCATCTGTAGGTCCCTGCAAGGTCTTGCATCATGGGACCGATGGAGAAGTTGGCTTTGGAGACCCCATCATGGTGCTCTCCAATGAGGTGCAAAGTGTCCTTAAACTTCCCTTCTCTGTGCAGAAGGAAGTGCTCAAACCTGACATCTGACCAACATTGCAGGATGACTGTCTCTTCTGATTTCACCAGGCGACCTGGGTGGGCCAGGAGGGAAGGTTTTCTGTGGACTCCTAGGAAGAGAGGTTGTGAGTTTAGAAGGTGTCTCTCTTTATCATCCCATCCATGGCACCTAGAATGAGTGAGGCTTCCCCTTGCTGGTGTCTGTCTCTCTCCTTCCTCTCTGTGTCTTCATGTTCTTTTCTGTGCCCTTAACTCCTGGTGCAGGTCCTTCCATCTGTCTCCCTCCCTCTTCTCTGTCCCTCTGTCTCTAGTAGCCTCTGATTCCCTTCCCACTGGGCTTAGCCTCATCTCTTGGGGTGTTGTATCTATTTCACACTAATGTCTTTCCTGCTGTTTATGTGGGGGTGAAAGAGGAACCAGGATAGGCTGCACATCCAGGCTCTTATCAGCCTGGTTCAATCTCTTTTGGATGAATTGCAATCCTTGGCAGAAGATATGAACTGATGAATAAGGCAGGCACCAGTGTCCACACACCCTGTTCCTGGTGGGGACTGGGAGCCACTCTTGCCATGCCTGTGCCTTCTCCATGGTGCCAGCTTCCATAGGCTGGCTCCTGGTGCTGGTTGGAGGAGTATCAACCCCTCCCTATGTGGATGGAGCCTGGTGGTGGCATCATCATCCCACCCTTGCTGATCTCAGGGTAGCCAACCTTCTCCTTCTTTGGTTTCTTTAATTAATTAATTAATTTTGGAGACAGAGTCTCACTCCTTCACCCAGGCTGGAGTGAAGTGGTGTGGTCTAGGCTCACTGCAACCTCTGTTTCCTGGGTTCAAGTGATTCTCCTGCCCTCAGCCTCCTGAGTCGCTAGGATTACATGCACCTGCCACCATGCCTGGCTTTCCTTGGGTTGTTTCTTAACTTGTCCTTGACCTGGGTTCCAGTGTTGGTTTCCTGTTGCTGCTGTACAAAATTATCAGAAGCATGGAAGCAGGAGAGACCACACTGACACCTTCCAGTACTGGAGACAGAAATTGGACCCTATTTTTCCTGGGCTAAAATCAAGGCATCTGCAGGGCTTTGTTCCCTCTGGAGACTCTGGAGAATCAGTTCCTTGACTTTTCCAGCCTCTATAGGCCACCTGCATTCATGGCTCTTGGCCTTCCTCCACCTTCAAAGCTGGTGAAGACTTCCACTGGACTGCTCTAATCCCCACTCCCCTCTTCCTCCTCCTTTCATGTGCACCCTTGTGATTACACTGAGCCCAGTGGGACAGTCCAGGCTGTCTCCCCATGAGCTCCATCTTCCCCTTCAGTCCCTTCCCCTATAACATACATAGTCACAGACTCCAGGGATTAGAATGTAGTCATCACTGGGGACAATTATTCTTCCCACCACAGCACCCATTTCCCTGTATTCAATCCCCCTTTACCACAAATACAGTCAGGGCCTGCGTGATGGGACCCTCAAGGACATGCCCACCAGAAGCTCTGGGATTCAGGAGGTGGGACAAGGAGAATCCAAGACAGGAGCCCTCTGACCTATGACCACGATCACCAGGGGGTTGCTGGGTGCTGACCACCCACTGGGGGAGTGTGTGTGTGAACCCCGACATCTGTATGTCCCTGTTGTGCGGGGGTCACAGGGCCCATGAAAAGGCTGTTCCAGAATATTCTGTTGTAGAGCTCAGGGACAGGCACCCCACCTTCCTTGTACAGACTGAAGTTGTTAAACCCAAGATAAGAGTGACACCGAAGAATGACATGTCCTAGAGGCACCACAAGGCTGGGCCAGGCAGACAGCAAGGGCTTGTCCTGACCACCTTGGGGAGAAGGAGGCGCCGCCTTAGAGAGGAGGATGTGGAACTGCCCCTCCCTCCCTGTGCTCAGAAGATTCTCCTCGCTTTCCACGTTTCTATGGCTACTATCACACCTTGGTGCCCAGGGCTGAAGGAAGGACCCATCCCGCAAAGACATGGTGTCTCCCTACAACAAAAGCCTCAGCTGAGAACTTTGAGCAAGTGCTGAGTAAAGAGACTCCTACTAGATTTTGATACTGTAAGATTACTCACATAAAACAACACAGGGTAGACATGAGGTGGAGGGCATGTCCTTTGTGAATGGATATCAGCGGATGCCTGAACGAAAATAAACAACTGAGCCCCCATCAGAGGATTTGGAATGTCAGGGCCATGGCTGTGGTTTCCCACCTCTTCTGGTAGAATGACAGCAGCCACACTGCAGCCCCTACCATCATGGAAACGCTGAAGTGTGTGAGTAACACCTTTGTCCTCAGAGGATCTGCTGTTCCTACCACTTCCCAACCACACACCCCAGCTTTGAGCACCCCAGTCTAACCCTGGTCCCCACAGAACTTGACTCTGCCAAGGGGTTGAGAGGCCAGGGAGGCGAGGTCAGAAATGTGGGCTGAGCACCCCAGGGTCCTCTCTTCCTAGTTTATGAGAGACTCCCCGACAGGACTTCCCTCCTGTTTCAGGAAAATCCTCTTATGTGGGGAGATGACACCCGAAGGTTTGGAGAAGGACTCACCCTCATGTGGCCAGGCCCCCTGCAGCAAGAAGAACCCTGGAAAGAAAGATCATGATGGACGATCCATCTGCAGGCGAACCAGCCCTCCCTTGCTGCCCCCACTGGGCTGTGAGTCTTGGCAGCCAGGCCCTTCCTGGGCTGAAGTTAAACTCACCCTCAGTGCCTACCTGCACCCAAGAACAGGGCTGTCGGCTGTGCAGAGACCCAGTTTCCAGGCCCATATCCCCACCCCAAGCCCATATCTCCACTCCAGGCTGATATTTCCACCCTAGGCCCATATCGCCAATCCAGGCTCAGATCTCCACCCTAGGCCCCTATCTCCAATCCAGTCCCATATCTCCGCCCCAGGCCCAGAACTCCACCCTAAGCCCATATCTCCACTCCAGGCCCATATCACCTCTCCAGTCCCATATCTCCACACCCAGGCCCATATCTCCTTCCTAGGCCCATATCTCCACTCCAGGCCCAGATATCCACCTCTAGGCCCATAACTCCACTCCTGGCCCATATCTCCACTCCAGGCCCATATCTCTACTGCAGGCCCGTATCTCCACCTCCAGACCCATATCTCCACTCCAGGCCCATATCTCCACCTCCAGGCCCATATCTCCACCTCCAGGCCCATATCTCCACTTCAGGCCCATATCTCCACTCCAGGCCCATATCTCCACTCCAGGCCCCTATCTCTACTGCAGGCCCATATCTCCATCTCCAGGCCCATATCTCCATCTCCAGGCCCATGTCTCCACTACAAGCCCATATCTCTACTGCAGGCCCATATCTCAACCTCCAGGCCCATATCTCCACTCCAGGCCCAGATCTCCACTTCTAGGCCCATCACTCCATCTCTAGGCCCATAACTCCACTTCCAGGCCTATATCTCCAACTCTGGGCCCCGATCTCCATCCCCGCACTCCCTCCCTCGATTCCCTTCCAGGACTCACCAACACACGCCATGCTGACGACCATGAGCGACATGGTGCTGTCTGTGCAGACAGGCGGCCGCGCCCCAGCTCAGCTCAGCAGCGCACAGGATGTTATTTGGCGCCCTGCCCATGCAGTTTACATGTTGACCACATCATGGGAGGGTGACGTACGCAGGCTCTTTCTACCTTGCATGAGGCCCAGTGGGTGCTCGCTCAAGAGCGGAACATGGCTTCCTGGAAATTGTTCTCACTAGAATTGACACCTTGCGTCCTTCACTACGACCAGACTCAAAAGACGTCTCAGATCCAACCTCTCATACACGAGATGATTGAATTCTGTGCTTACATTAAAGATTTTTGATGTATTTTTGTTTTTATCTGAGATTCAAACTCTTCTTCATATGTAATGTGCAAAATGTCTAACAGGTATTATTAACATTATCAGAGTAATTGTGACAAGAAGCCATTCTAATTTTCCTGCTTGAGTTTCTAGTACTAAACCAGAGGCATCAGAATAGCTTGAACCTGGGAGGCGGAGGTTGCAGTGAGCTGAGCTCAAGCCACTGAACTCCAGCTTGGGTGACAGAGGAAGAGTCTGTCTCAAGAAAAAAAAAAAAGCAAACTAAATAACCTATAATAACAAATCAGAGGACTCAGGTTACCAAATTTTAAGGGGTTCTATAAGTTTATATAAAATGCAGCATCCTCATGAGAGGGGATACAGAGAACCACTGGACAGAAAACTGTGTCTAAAATACATCTGTGGATACACAGTCCCTTTATAGTTGACAAAGGCTGCCATGTAGTTTAAGGTGGAATAGAATATTTTCTCAACAAATAACACAGGACCATAGGGTTACACGTAGGAAAAAATAAATCTAAACTTATCCTCACACTATAAAAACACTTCTTATTTTTTATCTTGTTGTTGTAAATTTTTTATGCTTTATTTTTAAGATTGACAAATAAAAATTATATACCATGGTCCTTCACTATACCTGGGTGATTGGTTCCAGGATCCCCATTCAGATACCAAAATCTGCAGATGCTCAAGCCCCTTGCATGAAATGGCATAGTGAAGCTGGGCACCGTGGCTCACGCCCGTAATCCCAGCACTTTGGGAGGCTGAGCTGGGTAGATCACAAGGTCAGGAGTTCAAGACCAGCTGGTCCAACATTCTGAAACCCCGTCTCTACTAAAAATACACACACAAAAAAATTTATCTGTGCATGGTGGCACGTGCCTGTAATCCTAGGGGAGGCTACTGGGGAGGCTGAGGGAAGACAATCGCTTGAACCTGGGAGGCGGAGGTTGCAGTGAGTTGAGATCACGCCACTGCACTCCAGCCTGGGTGAGAGAGTGAGACTGTCTCAAAAAAAAAAAATAGCATAGCAATTGCATAGAACCCATGCACATCCTCCTGTATACATGAAATCATCTCTTGATTACTTATAATTCCTGACACAGCCTACACGCCACTCAATTTGTGTCGATTCAACATAGTTTTTTGCTTCTTGAAACTTCGGGGATTTTTTTCTCAAAATATTTTTGATTTATTGTTGGTTCAATAAACACCTGTAAACCCCACAGATATGGAGGACCGACTGTATATTTATATTATGAAAGATGATATGTTGATATGTGTCCCCGTGGAGATGAGACTAACAAGGCCTATGACTCTACAAATGTTTCATCGTGGAATGACTCTGCCAGCTTTCCAGGTCTGCAGAGAGTAAGAATATCACTTGTTCATGTGATTCACGATCCTTGGAGCCTCCTATGTGCTGTATCTTTGGATGGAAATTGGAGTCTCAGAGACAATTCAGGCTCCATTCTGCTTCCAGAAGCTCAGAGTCCAGGGCTGAGAACCCAATGGAGAACAGATGGGGTTATGTGGACATGGTAATGATAACACCGGAAGCCTTAGGCAAGAGAAGAGTCTCGTTACCGAAACCATGAGGGCAGACATGTTTATTTGAAGGCGGGAAAACTACATTGAAATTATTTAAAAAATTTATAAGTTTTACTGCTGGCAGAAGGCTGAAAGATAGTCTGAAGGGAGGTGGAACAGCACGTGTCTAAGTGCTGTGTTAAGAGGGAGCCTCTTGTATGTTTGGAATTGTGAGTTCCTCAGTGTGATTGCAGCCTCAGGTAGACTAGGAAGTAAGCTAGTTAGGTTGGAGAGGTGGGCAGGGGTCAAGTGAAATGGAGAATTGTGGGCTAAGCAAAGGAGTGTGTTTTCTCTCCAGCAGGCAGTGGGGACCTTAGACATTTGTAAGCAAGAGAGAGGCATGTTCAGATTCGTGGTGTGAGGAAGAGCGATGCCCTAAGATGAAGACTGATGCCTTCAGATTCCAGCTGCTGGTACATGGGAGCTGGCAACCCGGTTTTGAGACAGGGCTGTTGTCTCCCTAGAAGATCCCCTCAAGGCCTGACTGTGGTGCTCGTGGACAGAAGACAACTTTGGATCTGGGCTCAGCATTTGGAAGTTCTATGTACATGCTGGTATCTGTTGGGGGTGTCTTGGGCCTCTCAGAAGGGCGAGTGATTTTTCTCTGTGTGAAAACACAGTGATCCAATTATGCGTATGACACCTCCTGATGGTCTTGTTCATCAGAATCCTGGAGAGAGGGAAATGCTGAGTGAGGGAGGGTGCTCACATTTTTCAGGACTCTTTGGGAATAAGACTAGCCACGAGGCTGGGCCGAGGAGCACCTACCTCGCTGTTCACTGTTCTGTTCCCTGCAGGCTCTTGGTCCATTACAGCAGCATCTGTAGAAGACGGAAGTCAACAAAAGAGCTCGGAGGGCACTTCTGGGTCCTCATTTCATAAGCAGATACCAACAAACAGGGGGAGGCCATAGGTGCCTGAGGTCCCTCAGTTGCCAACAGCAGACTCAGACATTCTATCTCTCTGAGTTCAAGGACCCATCCCATGAATAGCTCTGAGTTCCCATCCCATTGATTCTATCTCCCACTTTCTGCCTGTCATGGAACCTTCTCCTGGATGTGAGTGGCTGCAGGGGACGTGAGGGTACAGTTCAGAATCAGGCAACGGTCTGTGAGCTGAAGGCAGGGGAAGGGAATCTGGTGCTCTCTCTAGAAAGTCCTGCCTCTGTGGCTCCTGTCTTGGGCCAGGGACCATCCTGCTGGTGAGGAACACACACCTGAGTGCTCCCATCCTGCTTCCCCACATGGCCCTGAGCTCTCTGGCCTCTGCTTCGTGAGACTTACTTTTTTTGTTGGAGCACCAGCGATGAAGGAGAAAGAAGAGGAGGATGGTGAAAGGGATTTTGACCACTGAGGTCCCAATCAGAACATGCAGGTGTCTGGGGTTACCTGGAAGAAGAGGAGACACCAATAAGAAGCTAATCATAGCAGTTCCTCTTTATGAATTGTCTCGCATTTCTTGATTGGCAGGTAACCACATACAACGTCTCTTTAGGACAAGCACCCAAATGGCGGGAGACCTAGCTTTCCCCTGCTTTCTCAATTATAGCTCTCATAGTAACCATAGAACGTGCTGAGGATACAACTACTTTAGTTGAGATGTTTGACCCCTTCAAACCTCACATTGAAATTTCACCCCCATTGTGGGAGGTTGGGCCTCTTCAGAGGTGTTTGGGTCATGGAGGTGGATCCATCATGAACAGATCAATGCTGTCCCAAGGAGACGGGGTTAGCAAGTTCCCCCTCTGTTAGTTCCTGGACAGCTGGTTGTTAAAAAGAGCTTGGAAGCTCCATTGCTCCCTCTCCCCCTTACTCTCTCTCTTGCCGTGTGATCTCTGTGGTCTCTGCACAGACAGACCCTCCTTCCCTTCTGCCAGAGTGGGAGCAGCCTGAGGCCATCACGAGAAATAGATTCTGGTGCCATGCTTCCAGTACAGCCTGCAGAACTGTGAGGCAAACCGATCTCTTTTCTTTAGAAGTTACCGAGGCTCAAGTGTTCCTTCAGAGCAACAAAAAAAAAAACTAAGACAGCAACGACCTGAGATCAGGAGGAATGTCTCAGAACAGCCTGGGCTGTCTTCCTGTTCTTCCTGGAGGAAGGCGTCATGCAGTGCTTTAGCTGAGTGCTTCCTGTGGCTCCAGGGTACAAAACCCAGGCTGGGCTGCTTTCTGGCTTCCCCCAGCTACACTGCAAATGGGGTGACTCCATATGTCCCGAGCAGCTTTTCTGAGCCTTGAGGGACTGGCTCACATTGAAATGTAGGCTTCTGTTGTCACTCGCTGCTTATCTGTTAGTAATGAACCTGCCTGTGTAATGTATTCTCTGTGTGTTCTGTCTCCCTGGAGTGACGGTGAGTGATAGGAATTGGCATAGGCCCAGGTGCAGTCCAGGAGGTGTTTAGAGTCTTCTCTGGGAAGACTGCACTGGGATTGATACACAGCGACTGTGCTTTAGGATTTCTACATCCACGGCATTCTTGAGTCAAACAACTTGCATTCTCCAAGAAAAGGAAACAAAAGTGAAATCAAGATAAAAAAAGCGAAGTAGAATTCTCTTATGTCAAATGGCCAGGAAACAGTGTTGAAGCCCATGTGAAACGTGCTACTCTTTGTGATCTCAGGAGACACATGTTAGGTTGCTGTTCTACCCGAGAGGCTGGGGGAAGGACCACCCCCTCGGCCATCTATTGCTTCAATACCACCTGTCCTCCTGTGAATTAGTAGGAAAGGGGAGCAGGAGCTACTGCTGACGCTAATCTCTGATTCCAAGATCTGGACTCACTCCAAGGAGTATTAGAATTTACCTCCCCATGGCCTATCTGAATCTCCACAGATGATTGGAAGTAGGGGTGAGGTGGGGGATTTGGGTGAGAGGGCATGTTTTCTTGTGATGAACAGAGCACTTTGTGTATTCCAGGATCTGTGCTGGAGGATTCAGCGGGCTTTCACATTTTCTATATGATCTCATGCTCACAGAAAGCCAAATAGGGAAGAGGTTTTAGGCTCATTGCCTAATGGATAAGATAAAGGATCAAAGAAGTAATTATAGAGAAATAGAAAAATCATGATTGGAATTCAGGTCCCTTTCTCATTTGCATGTGTTATATTATATTTATATTTATGCATTTCTTATTTTTATTTTTTGAGACGGAGTCTCCTTGTGTCACCCAGGCTGGAGTGCAGTGATGCAATCTCCACTCACTGCAACCTCCACCTCCTGGGTTGAAGTCATTCTCCTGCTTCATCCTCCAGAGTAGGAGCTGGGATTACAGGGATGCACCACCATGCTCGGCTAATTTTTGTGTTTTTCCTAGAGACAGGGTTTCACCATGTTGGCCAGGCTGGTCTCGAACTGCTGACTTCATGTGATCCACCCGCCTTGGCCTCCTGCAGTGCTGGGTTACAGGCGTGAGCCACCGTTCACAGACTTGTATATTATGCTATAATAGGTCCCTTCATTTCCACCACCCCTCATATATCTGTCACTCCTTTGCCAGGTATTGATTTATGTGTAGTAGGAATAAAGCTCAGAAAGAAATTAAGCGAGGATTAGACAACTAGGAAAATCATACCCAGCAAGCCTTTCCAGCCAATGATTCCACCTCACAAGCATAGCTTATATCCATCTGCTTCACCCAGTTAGGGTCTAAATCAGCACCACATTTCACCAGTGGGGCGGGAATTGCCTTTTCCACAGTCTCCTAGATTCCAGTTACGCACCTGGGCCTCCCTTATTTTCATGTCAGTCACTATTAATCATGTAGGGATTCCTGGCTACCCCGAGGTGAATCCAATGGCTGTGAGTGTCAAACACACACTCCTTGTTGCTCCTTAGTTTCCTGTGTACCCAGTGTGCTCTCCGTCTCTCCACAGTCGTCTTGTCATTCTCCCCACCTCATTCCCAGCATTTGAGGCAGAGCCTCTTCCTTCCACATCAGATTGTTTTCAGCTTTCTGCCTTCACGGCTGACAGCTGTGTGTGGAAAATCCTTCCGCCAATCTTTCAGGGGTTCAATCCGTGTTTTTCATTAATGTCACAAATATCTGATTAGTGAGATCTTCTCTGTCACCCAAAATCATACACTCAGCATTATGTATTATTTATTTTAAATTCTGGCTGGGCACAGTGGCTCACGCCAGTTATCCCAGTACTTTAGGATGCTGAGACGGTCGGATCACTTGAGGTTGGGAGTTTCAGAGAAGCTTGGCGAAGATGGTGAAACATCCTCTACAAAAAATATACAAAAAGAATTAGCCGGGCATGGTGGCAGTTGCCTGTAATCCCAGCTACTTGAGAGGCTGACGCAGGAGAATCACTTGGATCCAGAAGGTGCAGGTTGCAGTGAGCCAAGATGGTGACACTGCACTGTAGCCTGGAAGACAGAGGGAGACTGTCTCAATAAACAAATGAAGAAACAAACAAATAGATTTCATACACAGATGCTTCCCAATGGATCATTCATTTATTGGTCCACTTGTGCATTCATTTTCTGCCCTCCCATTTAACCATCTGCAATATCAGTGTCCAAAGAGCAGAGGCCAAATGCATCTTGTTCACTGTTTGTGGAAGGCAGGAGAATGCTGTCCCACCCCAAAATGTCCCTGTCCTAGCCTCCATAGCTTGTGAATATCTTATTTTACATGGAAAGGAGGAATGAAGATTGCAGATGGAATTATGGTTGCTAATCAGCTGAACTTAAAACAAGGGTATCCTGAATGATTTCCGGGAGATTATGATGGATTTTCATCTTGGTGAACCCAATAGAATCCCCAAGTTTTCAAAAGATGAGGAAGAAGGGAGAGCAGCATTCAGAGAAAGAGGTGTGGTAAGGAAGAAGGGTCTGAGTGATGCCATGTGAGATGTGACCAGTCTTTGTGGGCTTTGAGGAAGGAGGAAGGGGACCAGGAGCGAAGGAATGTGGGAGCCTCTAGAAGCTGAGAAAAGTGAGAAGCAGATTCTTGCCTGGAATCCTCAGAGGGAAGGCAGCCTTGCTGTCACCTTGATTTTAGCCCAGTGAGATGCACTTCATACTTTGAGCTACAGCACTGTAAGATAATTAAAAAACCGTTTTGTTTTCACCCACGAATCTTGTGGAAATTTGTTATGGCAACAATAGGAAAAGCTTCCACAGTGCACAGCCTGAGCATGGGGCCGTGGCTGAATGAGTCAGTGAGTCGAAGTGTGCGTGCATGAGCTCTGTTCTCTGTTACAGCAAGGCTCTTTCTCTGCTGAGTCAGCCAGGGTTGCTTCATGACCTATAGGAGCTCATTCCTTGGCAAGTGGAACTTCTCTAAAACACCTCGCCCTCATCAGATGTTCCCTTCCCTTCCCTCTCTCAAGTCTCCAGGAATTTATCCTCCAGTTAGGAATGCAGGCAGAACAAACATTGCATTTTTCCTGAGAAGGATGTCAGATTGGCAATCATTCTTCTAGCTTGTAGGAAGTCTCAGCTCCATAAAATGAGAGATGAAGAGATTTCACTGAGCCCTGTGTTGGACCCAGATCCCTTTCGCTGTAGGAGTATCTGGAGTTCGGAGATGGTGGAAGACAGGGGTACAATGTCAGAGCTGTGAGATGCTGAGTCAACGCCTGAATCCAAGGTTTCCACCTCCCCAGGTTTCCAAAAGCGGATATAAGAGGGTTCTGTACTCACCGGTTTTGGAGCTTGGTTCAGTGGGTGAAGGCCAACTATTTGAAGGGTTTCCTAGAACATGAGACAGGAGAGAGGTGAGGAAATGAGGGTGTCTGTCCTCTACTCAGTGGAAATCTTTGAGGATGGTTCATGGCCAACACTCTGTTATCTAATATTGGGCCCTGGGAGTCCTGGGATCCTTTTTTCCATAATTTTTTTATGTGACGCCCACTGTCTTGAGACTTCAAGGTATAAAGAGAAAACAGGAGCATCACACTACCTGATCTCAAAATATGTTACAGAGCTGTAGTAAGCAAAACAGCATGACATTGGCATAAAGAAAGGGACATAGAACAACGGAGCAGAATGAATAACACAGATATATTCCATGCATTTACATCCAATGGTTTTTTATTTTTTCTTTTGAGATGGAGTCTTGCTCTGTCACTCAGGCTGGAGTGCAGAGGTGCAATCTCAGTTCACTGCAACCTCAGCCTCCTGGGTTCAATCATTCTCTTGCCTCAAACTCCTGAGTAGTGGTATTACAGGTGCTGACCACCATGCTCAGCTAATTTTTATATTTTTAGTGGAGACGATGTTTCATCACGTCGTCCAGACTGATCTTGAACTCCTGGCCTCAGGTAATCCACCCGCCTCGGCCTCCCAAAGTGCTGAAATTGCAGGTGTCAGCCACCAAGCCCAGCCCATCCAATGGACTTTGACAAAGGTGCCAAGAACTCACAATCAGGAAAGGACAGTCTTTTCAATAAACAGTGCAGGGAAACCTGGACATCGACATGCAGAGGAATGAAACTGCACCTCTACCTGTCACCATACACAAAAATCAAATGAAAATGGATTAAAGATGTGAGTCTAAGGCCTGAACCTATGAAACACGTAGAACAAAATATTGGGGAAATGCTCCAGGACATTTGTCTGAAGAAAGACATTTTGTTTTAAACCTTGAAAACACAAGTAATCGAAGCAAAAATAGACCATTGGGATTACCTCAAACTAAGCAACTTCTGCACTGCTAAAAATAAACCAACAAAGTGAAGAGACAACCCACAGATTGGGAGCAAATATGTGCAAACTATGCATCTGAGATGGGATTAATAACTAGAAATATAAGAAGCTCAAACAACTCAATAAAACAAATGATTTAATTGAAAAAGGAGCAGAAGACATGAAATTTCCCCACATACTAAAAAGTGCTCAGTATCACTCATCATCAGAGAAACGCAAATTAAAATCAAAGTGAGTTTTCATCTCACCCCATTAAAATGGCTTTTAGGCCGGGCGTGGTGGCTCACGTCTGTCATCCTAGAACTTTGAGAGCCTGAGGTGGGTGAATCTCATAAGGTCAGGAGTTTGAGACCAGTCTGACCCACATAGAGAAACACTGTCTCTACTAAAAATACAAAAATTAGTCGGGCGTGGTGGAGTGTGCCTGTAATTCCAGCTACTCGGGAGGCTGAGGCAGGAGAATCGCTTGAACCTGGGAGGTGGAGGTTGTGGTGAGCCGAGATAGCGCCACTGCACTCCTGCCTGGGTGAGAAGAGCAAAACTCCATCTCAAAATAAAATGAAATAAAATAAAATGGCTTTTAGCTGCAAGACAGGCAAAAGAAATGCTGGCAAGGTGGTAGAGAAAGGAGAACCCTGGTACCCTGTTGGGAGGAGTGTAAATTAGTACAGCGATTACGGAGAAAAGTATGGAAGTCCTTTAAAGAACTAAAAAGAGGTTGGGTGTGGTGGATCAGGCCTGTAATCCCGGCACTTTGGGAGACTGAGGCGGGCATCTCAGTTGAGGTCATGAGTTTGAGAGCAGCCCAGCCAACATGGGGAAACCCCATCTATACTAAAAAAAACAAAAAGTAGCCAGGCATGGTGGCGTGCACCTGTAATCCCAGCTACTAGGGAGGCTGAGGCAGGAAAATCATTTGAACCCAGGAGGCAGAGGTTGCAATGAGCCAAGATGACATCACTTGTACTCCAGCCTGGGCACAGAGGGAAACTGTCTCAAAAACAAAAACAAAACAACAAACGAAAAACTAAAAAGAGAACTTTCATAGTATCCAGCAATTTCACTACTGGGTTTATATCCAAAGGAAAGTAAATCAATATATCGAAGTGATATCTGCACTCGTATGATTGGTGCAGCACTGTTCACAGTAGCCAAGATGTGGAGTCAACCTACCTGCCCATCAGTGGATGAATGGATAGAGAGAATGTAGTACATACGCACAGTGGAGACTACTCATCCATAGAAAGAATAACATCCTGATATTTGCAGCCACATGGATGGAACTGGAAGTCATTACAAAGATTCCCATTTCTCACCCATATACAGAGCTAAAAGGTGGATCTCATGAAGGTAGAGAGTAGAATGATGGCTTCCAGAGGCCAGGAAGAAAAGGGTGGAGGGTAAAAAAAAAAAAAAAAAATATATATATATAAATGTATTTATGACCACTAGACTTTACACTTAAAAATGGTAAATGTGGCTGGGCGTGGTGGCTCATGCCTGTAATCCCAGCACTTTGGGAGGCACATGCGGGTGGATCACGTGGTCAGGAGTTGGAGACCAGCTCGACCAACATGGTGAAACCACCTCTCTACTAAAAATACAAAAAGTAGCCTGGCGTGGTGGTGCGCGCCTGTAGCACCAGCTACTCAGGTGGCTGAGGCAAGAGAATCGCTTGAACCCAGGAGGCGGAAATTGCAGTGAGCTGAGATTGTGCCACTGCACTCCAGCATAGGGGACAGAGCTAGACTCTGCCTCAAAAAAAAAAAAAATGTTAAAGGTGGTAAGCTATATAGGTATATTTATCCTCAATAAATATTTCTTCAAACAAAAGTAAAGGGTGTAGGGGTTGCTGGTGATGACATCCCTGTGTGGGTGAGAGGCCAGGATGGGCTTCTGGGAAATGGATAATGTTGAGGGGCTGAGGGAACCTCTGATCTTCCCAAACTGAGCCCAGTCTCTCTCCTCTGGGTCTCTCCTGACCGTTTTCTCCATCTGCCTGTGTGCCTGGAGCCCTGGCCGCGGGCCTTCATGCAGGCCGTGTAGGAGGGTTTGGAGGTGCCCTGTCTGCCATCCTGTGCCCTGATCCCTCCCTCACACCCAAGCTTCGTCTTCTCTCTGCATCTGTCCATGCTTCTCTCCATCATCAGCAGGAAGCTCCTCAGCTAAGGCTCTAGGATCATAGGACATGAGACAGATATGGGGTTTCCTCACCTGTGACAGAAACAAGCAGTGGGTCACTCGAGTTTGACCACTCATAGGGAGAGTCACGGAAAGAGCCGAAGCATCTGTAGGTTCCTCCGTGGGTGGCAGGGCCCAGAGGAAAGTCGGCCTGGAATGTTCCGTTGACCTTGGGCCCTGCAGAGAACCTACGTTCATGGGCCTCCCCCTCCCTGGATAGATGGTACATGTCATAGGAGCTCCGGGAGCTGCAGGACAAGGTCACGCTCTCTCCTGCCAAAACCGTGGGGCCCGGCTGGGCTGAGAGAGAAGGTTTCTCATATAGACCTGGAAGGAGAAGAGGCATTTTCCTCAGGGAGGATCTTCCTTGTCACAGCTCCCTTCACCTGAGCTGAGAACTCACTCCCCTGCTCTATGACCTAATGCTCTCTCTCTCTCTCTCTCACCCTCCACCCCATCTCTCTTCATGTCTATTTCCTCCTTCCACCTTCTCTGTCTCTCTAGGTCTCTGACCTCGCTTCCCCACCTCTAGATATGTTTTCCCTTTTTGGATTCTTTTATTCTCTCTGACTCTCCTTGGATTGGTTGACTTGATGTTACTTTTTTAAATTCTAAGTTTCTCACGTTGTGTCCTGTTCATAACTTTCTGCATATTTCTATCTATTATCTGTCGATCTATCTATTTATCTATTCGGTGCCTATCTACAAATTCTCTACCTGTCATCTATATCTATATATCATCTATGTATCTATCAGTTGTCTATCTATCCATCAATCATCTGTTATTTATATGTATGTATCATCTCTCTCTCTATGATTTCTGTCTGCCTCTCTATCTGTACGTATTATCTATCTGTCTTCATCATCATCATCTCTATGTATTATCTATTAATGAATCAATCAATCATCATCTATGTATCTTTAACCTATTATCTATCATCTACCTATTTATCATCTATCTATATCTATCCATCTATCATCTGTCTTGCTCTGCCTCTCGGTCTCTCTAGTTCTCTTTGGAATCTCTGCAGTTCATCCCCACATCTCCATCTTTCTATGTCCTTGTGCCTCTCCCTCAGGACTCTAATTTTAGTGCTTTTCTCTGCTCCCTTCCATCATTCTCACCACTCCTCTGCCCTCTTTTCTCTCTCTTTATGTGTCAGTGAGTCTCTCAATCTCCTTCCTCTGGCCCATTCTCTGTGTGTTTATGTCTTTGCTTTTTGGTGTTCCTGATTTCTCTCTGTGCCTCTCAGTGATCCTTTCATATGTGGGGTTATTTGGAATGTGAGCCTCAGAATCCAGTCTGGAGACCACAAGTTCACACAGCATACAGGGGTTGGTGTTCTGGGGCCATGATATCCTGGGACGGTTACTCTCCATTACATGGAAGGCAGAGGTGTCAGAATAAACATGGCCTGTAGGTGCCACAAGGCCTGAGGCCACAGGGCCCAACTCAGGTCAGAAATATGGGTGTCCTTGGGTTCTCCTGGTAGAGAACACTTTGTGGAGGTAAAACAGAAATGAAACTTCTATCCTGTGCCAGGTCTGTGAGCAAAGTCAGCATGGAGGGACACCTCTCTCTGGGACATGTCTGTCTGTCTGTCTCCTTTAACTCTTTCTGTCTTTTCTAACTCCCTGTATGGCCCCTGTGTCTGTCCTCCGTTATGACACCTGGTCTGTACTTGTGTCTCCTGTTTCTCTGTCTCTGTTGGTACAAACCTCAGCAAGTCAGTCTCTCTCCATAAGAATACCAAGCTCATCTTCCTTACAACTACCTGGGGGTTCCAAGTCGTGGATCATTCACTCTGCAGCCCAATGACAATGAGAATGTCCGGACACTCTCACCTGTGATGACGATGTCCAGAGGGTCACTGGGAGCTGACAACTGATAGGGGGAGTGAGTAACAGAACCGTAGCATCTGTAGGTCCCTGCAAGGTCTTGCATCATGGGACCGATGGAGAAGTTGGCCTTGGAGACCCCATCATGGTGCTCTCCAATGAGGTGCAAAGTGTCCTTATACTTCCCCTCTCTGTGCAGAAGGAAGTGCTCAAACCTGACATCTGACCAACATTGCAGGATGACTGTCTCTTCTGATTTCACCAGGGGACCTGGGTGGGCCAGGAGGGAAGGTTTTCTGTGGACTCCTAAGAAGAGAGGTTGTGAGTTTAGAAGGTGTCTCTCTTTATCATCCCATCCATGGCACCTAGAATGAGTGAGGCTTCCCCTTGCTGGTGTCTGTCTCTCTCCTTCCTCTCTGTGTCTTCATGTTCTTTTCTGTGCCCATAACTCCTGGTGCAGGTCCTTCCATCTGTCTCCCTCCCTCTTCTCTGTCCCTCTGTCTCTAGTAGCCTCTGATTCCCTTCCCACTGGGCTTAGCCTCATCTCTTGGGGTGTTGTATCTATTTCACACTAACGTCTTTCCTGCTGTTTATGTGGGGGTGAAAGAGGAACCAGGATAGGCTGCACATCCAGGCTCTTATCAGCCTTGTTCAATCTCTTTTGGATGAATTGCAATCCTTGGCAGAAGGTATGAACTGATGAATAAGGCAGGCACCAGTGTCCACACACCCTGTTCCTGGTGGGGACTGGGAGCCACTCTTGCCATGCCTGTGCCTTCTCCATGGTGCCAGCTTCCATAGGCTGGCTCCTGGTGCTGGTTGGAGGAGTATCAACCCCTCCCTATGTGGATGGAGCCTGGTGGTGGCATCATCATCCCACCCTTGCTGATCTCAGGGTAGCCAACCTTCTCCTTGTTTGGTTTCTTTAATTAATTAATTAATTTTGGAGACAGAGTCTCACTCCTTCACCCAGGCTGGAGTGAAGTGGTGTGGTCTAGGCTCACTGCAACCTCTGTTTCCTGGGTTCAAGTGATTCTCCTGCCCTCAGCCTCCTGAGTCGCTAGGATTACATGCGCCTGCCACCATGCCTGGCTTTCCTTGGGTTGTTTCTTAACTTGTCCTTGACCTGGGTTCCAGTGTTGGTTTCCTGTTGCTGCTGTACAAAATTATCAGAAGCATGGAAGCAGGAGAGACCACACTGACACCTTCCAGTACTGGAGACAGAAATTGGACCCTATTTTTCCTGGGCTAAAATCAAGGCATCTGCAGGGCTTCGTTTCCTCTGGAGACTCTGGAGAATCAGTTCCTTGACTTTTCCAGCCTCTATAGGCCACCTGCATTCATGGCTCTTGGCCTTCCTCCACCTTCAAAGCTGGTGAAGACTTCCACTGGACTGCTCTAATCCCCACTCCCCTCTTCCTCCTCCTTTCATGTGCACCCTTGTGATTACACTGAGCCCAGTGGGACAGTCCAGGCTGTCTCCCCATGAGCTCCATCTTCCCCTTCAGTCCCTTCCCCTATAACATACATAGTCACAGACTCCAGGGATTAGAATGTAGTCATCACTGGGGACAATTATTCTTCCCACCACAGCACCCATTTCCCTGTATTCAATCCCCCTTTACCACAAATACAGTCAGGGCCTGCGTGATGGGACCCTCAAGGACATGCCCACCAGAAGCTCTGGGATTCAGGAGGTGGGACAAGGAGAATCCAAGACAGGAGCCCTCTGACCTATGACCACGATCACCAGGGGGTTGCTGGGTGCTGACCACCCACTGGGGGAGTGTGTGTGTGAACCCCGACATCTGTATGTCCCTGTTGTGCGGGGGTCACAGGGCCCATGAAAAGGCTGTTCCAGAATATTCTGTTGTAGAGCTCAGGGACAGGCACCCCACCTTCCTTGTACAGACTGAAGTTGTTAAACCCAAGATAAGAGTGACACCGAAGAATGACATGTCCTAGAGGCACCACAAGGCTGGGCCAGGCAGACAGCAAGGGCTTGTCCTGACCACCTTGGGGAGAAGGAGGCGCCGCCTTAGAGAGGAGGATGTGGAACTGCCCCTCCCTCCCTGTGCTCAGAAGATTCTCCTCGCTTTCCACGTTTCTATGGCTACTATCACACCTTGGTGCCCAGGGCTGAAGGAAGGACCCATCCCGCAAAGACATGGTGTCTCCCTACAACAAAAGCCTCAGCTGAGAACTTTGAGCAAGTGCTGAGTAAAGAGACTCCTACTAGATTTTAATACTGTAAGATTACTCACATAAAACAACACAGGGTAGACATGAGGTGGAGGGCATGTCCTTTGTGAGTGGATATCAGCGGATGCCTGAACGAAAATAAACAACTGAGCCCCCATCAGAGGATTTGGAATGTCAGGGCCATGGCTGTGGTTTCCCACCTCTTCTGGTAGAATGACAGCAGCCACACTGCAGCCCCTACCATCATGGAAACGCTGAAGTGTGTGAGTAACACCTTTGTCCTCAGAGGATCTGCTGTTCCTACCACTTCCCCACCACACACCCCAGCTTTGAGCACCCCAGTCTAACCCTGGTCCCCACAGAACTTGACTCTGCCAAGGGGTTGAGAGGCCAGGGAGGCAAGGTCAGAAATGTGGGCCGAGCACCCCAGGGTCCTCTCTTCCCAGTTTATGAGAGACTCCCTGACAGGACTTCCCTCCTGTTTCAGGAAAATCCTCTTATGTGGGGAGATGACAACCGAAGGTTTGGAGAAGGACTCACCCTCATGTGGCCAGGCCCCCTGCAGCAAGAAGAACCCTGGAAAGAAAGATCATGATGGACCATCCATCTGCAGGCAAACCAGGACTCCCTTGCTGCCCCCACTGGGCTGTGAGTCTTGGCAGCCAGGCCCTTCCTGGGCTGAAGTTAAACTCACCCTCAGTGCCTACCTGCACCCAAGAACAGGGCTGTCGGCTGTGCAGAGACCCAGTTTCCAGGCCCAGATCCCCACCACAAGCCCATATCTCCACTCCAGGCTGATATTTCCACCCTAGGCCCATATCTCCAATCCAGTCCCATATCTCTGCCCCAGGCCCAGATCTCCACCCTAAGCCCATATCTCCACTCCAGGCCCATATCACCTCTCCAGTCCCATATCTCCACACCCAGGCCCATATCTCCTTCCTAGGCCCATATCTCCACTCCAGGCCCAGATATCCACCTCTAGGCCCATAACTCCACTCCTGGCCCATATCTCCACTCCAGGCCCATATCTCTACTGCAGGCCCGTATCTCCACCTCCAGATCCATATCTCCACTCCAGGCCCATATCTCCACTCCAGGCCCATATCTCTACTGCAGGCCCATATCTCCATCTCCAGGCCCATATCTCCATCTCCAGGCCCATGTCTCCACTACAAGCCCATATCTCTACTGCAGGCCCATATCTCAACCTCCAGGCCCATATCTCCACTCCAGGCCCAGATCTCCACTTCTAGGCCCATCACTCCATCTCTAGGCCCATAACTCCACTTCCAGGCCTATATCTCCAACTCTGGGCCCCGATCTCCATCCCCGCACTCCCTCCCTCGATTCCCTTCCAGGACTCACCAACACACGCCATGCTGACGACCATGAGCGACATGGTGCTGTCTGTGCAGACAGGCGGCCGCGCCCCAGCTCAGCTCAGCAGCGCACAGGATGTTATTTGGCGCCCTGCCCATGCAGTTTACATGTTGACCACATCATGGGAGGGTGACGTACGCAGGCTCTTTCTACCTTGCATGAGGCCCAGTGGGTGCTCGCTCAAGAGCGGAACATGGCTTCCTGGAAATTGTTCTCACTAGAATTGACACCTTGCGTCCTTCACTACGACCAGACTCAAAAGACGTCTCAGATCCAACCTCTCATACACGAGATGATTGAATTCTGTGCTTACATTAAAGATTTTTGATGTATTTTTGTTTTTATCTGAGATTCAAACTCTTCTTCATATGTAATGTGCAAAATGTCTAACAGGTATTATTAACATTATCAGAGTAATTGTGACAAGAAGCCATTCTAATTTTCCTGCTTGAGTTTCTAGTACTAAACCAGAGGCATCAGAATAGCTTGAACCTGGGAGGCGGAGGTTGCAGTGAGCTGAGCTCAAGCCACTGAACTCCAGCTTGGGTGACAGAGGAAGAGTCTGTCTCAAGAAAAAAAAAAAAGCAAACTAAATAACCTATAATAACAAATCAGAGGACTCAGGTTACCAAATTTTAAGGGGTTCTATAAGTTTATATAAAATGCAGCATCCTCATGAGAGGGGATACAGAGAACCACTGGACAGAAAACTGTGTCTAAAATACATCTGTGGATACACAGTCCCTTTATAGTTGACAAAGGCTGCCATGTAGTTTAAGGTGGAATAGAATATTTTCTCAACAAATAACACAGGACCATAGGGTTACACGTAGGAAAAAATAAATCTAAACTTATCCTCACACTATAAAAACACTTCTTATTTTTTATCTTGTTGTTGTAAATTTTTTATGCTTTATTTTTAAGATTGACAAATAAAAATTATATACCATGGTCCTTCACTATACCTGGGTGATTGGTTCCAGGATCCCCATTCAGATACCAAAATCTGCAGATGCTCAAGCCCCTTGCATGAAATGGCATAGTGAAGCTGGGCACCGTGGCTCACGCCCGTAATCCCAGCACTTTGGGAGGCTGAGCTGGGTAGATCACAAGGTCAGGAGTTCAAGACCAGCTGGTCCAACATTCTGAAACCCCGTCTCTACTAAAAATACACACACAAAAAAATTTATCTGTGCAGGGTGGCACGTGCCTGTAATCCTAGGGGAGGCTACTGAGGAGGCTGAGGGAAGAGAATCGCTTGAACCTGGAAGGCGGAGGTTGCAGTGAGTTGAGATCACGCCACTGCACTCCAGCCTGGGTGAGAGAGTGAGACTGTCTCAAAAAAAAAAATAGCATAGCAATTGCATAGAACCCATGCACATCCTCCTGTATACATGAAATCATCTCTTGATTACTTATAATTCCTGACACAGCCTACACGCCACTCAATTTGTGTCGATTCAACATAGTTTTTTGCTTTTTGAAACTTCGGGGATTTTTTTTCTCAAAATATTTTTGATTTATTGCTGATTCAATAAACATGTGTAAACCCCAGAGATATGGAGGAGTGACTGTCTATTTATAGTAGTATGAAAGATGATGTGTTGATACGTGTCCCTGTGGAGATGAGACTAACAAGGCCTATGACTCTACAAATGTTTCATCGTGGAATGACTCTGCCAGCTTTCCAGATCTGCAGAGAGTAAGAATATCACTTGTTCATCTGATTCACCATCCTTGGAACCTCCTATGTGCTGCATCTTTGGATGGAAACTGGAGTCTCAGAGACAATTCAGGCTCCACCCTGCTTCCAGAAGCTCAGAGTCCAGGGGTGAGAACCCAGCGGAGAACAGATGGGGTTATGTGGACGTGGTAATGATAACACCGGAAGCCTTAGGCAAGAAAAGAGTCCCATTGACGAAACCATGAGGGCAGACATGTTTACTTGAAGAATAGAAAACTACATTGAAATTATAAAAAAAATTTATAAGTTTTACTGCTGACAGAAGGCTGAAAGATACTCTGAGGAAAGGTGGAACAACATGAGGAAAGGTGGAATAGCATGTATCTAAGTGCCGTGTTAAGAGGGAGCCTCTTATATGTTTGGAATTGTGAGTTCCTCAGTGTGATCGCAGCCTCAAGTAGACTAGGAAGTAAGCCAGTTAGGTTGGAGAGGTGGGCAGGGGTCAAGTGAAATGGAGAATTGTGGGCTAAGCAAAGGAGTGTGTTTTCTCTCCAGCAGGCAGTGGGGACCTTAGACATTTGTAAGCAAGAGAGAGGCATGTTCAGATTCGTGGTGTGAGGAAGAGCGATGCCCTAAGATGCAGACTCACGCCTTCAGATTCCAGCTGCTGGTACATGGGAGCTGGCAACCCGGTTTTGAGACAGGGCTATTGTCTCCCTAGAAGATCCCATCAAGGCCTGACTGTGGTGCTGGTGGACAGAAGACAACTTTGGATCTGCGCTCAGCATTTGGAAGTTCCGTGTTACACGCTGGTATCTGTTGGGGGTGTCTTGGGCCTCTGAGAAGGGCGAGTGATTTTTCTCTGTGTGAAAACGCAGTGATTCAACTGTGCGTATGTCACCTCCTGAGGGTCTTGTTCATCAGAGTCCTGGAGGGAGGGAAATGCTGAGTGAGGGAGGGTGCTCACATTTTTCAGGACTCTTTGGGAATAAGACTAGCCATGAGGCTGGGCTGAGGAGCACCTACCTCCCTGTTCACTGTTCTGTTCCCTGCAGGCTCTTGGTCCATTACAACAGCATCTGTAGAAGACGGAAGTCGTCAAAACAGCTCGGAGGGCACTTCTGGGTCCTCATTTCATAAGCAGATACCAACATGCAGGGGGAGGCCATAGGTGCCTGAGGTCCCTCAGTTGCCAACAGCAGACTCAGACATTCTATCTCTCTGAGCTCAAGGACCCATCCCATGAATAGCTCTGAGTTCCCATCCCATTGATTCTGTCTCCCACTTTCTGCCTGTCATGGAACCTTCTCCTGGATGTGAGTGGCTGCAGGGGATGTGAGGATATGGTTCAGAATCAGGCAATGGTCTGTGAGCTGAAGGCAGGGGCAGGGAGTCTGGTGCTCTCTCTAGAAAGTCCTGCCTCTGTGGCTCCTGCCTTGGGTCAGGGACCATCCTGCCTGTAAGGAACACACACCTGAGTGCTCCCATCCTGCTTCCCCACATGGCCCTGAGCTCTCTGGCTTCTGCTTCGTGAGACTTACTCTTTTTGTTGGCACACCAGCGATGAAGGAGAAAGAAGAGGAGGATAGCAAAGGGGATGATGACCACTGAGGTCCCAATCAGAGCGTGCAGGTATCTGGAGTTACCTGGAGGAAGACAAGACACCAATAAGAAGCTAATCATAGCAGTTCCTCTATATGAATTGTCTCACATTTCTTGATTGACAGGTAACCACATACAACGTCTCTTTAGGACAAGCACCCAGATGGCGGGAGACCTAGCTTCCTCCTGCTTTCTCAGTTGTAGTAACCATAGAACGTGCTGAGGATACAACTGCTTTAGTTTAGATGTTTGACCACTTCAAACCTCACATTGAAATGTAACCCCCAGGGTGGGAGGTTGGGCCTCTTGGGAGGTGTTTGGGTCATGGAGGTGGATCCATCATGAACAGATCAATGCTGTCCCAAGGAGATGGGGTTAGCAAGTTCCCCCTCTATTAGTTCCTGGAGAGCTGGTTGTTAAAAAGAACTTGGAAGCTCCATCGCTCCCCCTCCCCCTTGCTCCCTCTCTTGCCGTGTGATCTCTGTGGTCTCTGCACAGATAGACCCTCCTTCCCTTCTGCCAGAGCGGGAGCAGCCTGAGGCCGTCACAAGAAATAGATGCTGGTGCCATGCTTCCAGTACAGCCTGCAGAACTGTGAGGCAAACACATTTCTTTTCTTTAGAAGTTACCCAGGCTCAAGTGTTCCTTTAGAGCAACAAAAATGGACTAAGACAGCAAAGTCCTGAGATCAGGAGGAACATCCCAGAACAGCCTGGGCTGTCTTCCTGTTCTTCCTGGAGGAGGACGTCATGCAGTGCTTTAGCTGAGTGCTTCCTGTGGCTCCAGGGTACAAAACCCAGGCTGGGCTGCTTTTTGATTTCCCCCAGATACACTGCATATGGGGTGACTCCACATGTCTCGAGCAGCTTTTCTGAGCCTTGAGGGACTGGCTCACATTGAAATGTAGGCTTCTGTTGTCACTCGCTGCTTATCTGTTAGTAATGAACCTGCCTGTGTAATGTGTTCTCTGTGTGTTCTGTCTCCCTGGAGTGACGGTGAGTGATAGGAATTGGTATAGGCCCAGGTACATTCCAGGAGGTGTTTAGAGTCTTCTCTGGGAAGACTGGATTGGGATTGATACACAGCGAATGTGCTTTACAGTTTCTACCACCACAACCCTCTTGACTCAAAAAAATTACATTCTCCAAGAAAAGAAAGAAAAAATGAAATCAAGATAAAAAAAGTGAAGTAGAACTGACTTAAATCAAACAGCCATGAAATAATGATGTAGCCCAGGAACAACATGCTACTTTTTGTGATCTGCTGAGACATATATTAGGCTGCTATTCCACCCGAGAAGCACGGGGAAGGACCGCCCTCTCCGTCGTTTATTGTTTCAATACAGCCTGTCCTTCTGTGAGTTAGTACGAAATGTGACCAGGGGCTAGTGCTGGCACTGGTCTCTGAGTCCAAGATCTGAGCTCACTCCAAAGAGTATTAGTGTTTACCTCCCCATGATCTATCTGTATCTCCATAGGTGATTGGAAGTAGAGATGAATTGGGGGATTTGGGTGAAGGGGCAAGTTTTATGCCATGAACAGAGCATGTTCTCTATTCCAGGACCTGTGCTGGTGGGTTCAGGAGGCTTTCACATTTTCCATATGATCCCAAGCTCACAGAAAGCCAAATAAGGAAGAGGTTTAACCTGATTGTTTAATGGATAAGATAAAGGGTCAAAGAATTAAACACAGAGAAATAGAAAAATGATGGTTGGTATCCAGTTGCCTTTGTAATTTCTGTGTGTCATAATTATGTATGTTTTATTTTTATTTTTTGAGACAGAGTCCCCCTGTGTCAGGCTGGAGTGCAGTGATGCGATCTCAGTTCAACCTCTGCCTCCAGGGTTGAAGCCATTCTTCTGCTTCAGCCTCCCCAGTCGCTGGGATTACAGGCAGGTGCCAATGCACCAGGCTAATTTTTGTATTTTTAGTACAGACGGGGTTTCACCATGTTGGCCAGGCTGGTCTCAAACTCCTACCCTTAAGTGATCTACCCGCCTTGGCCTCCCAAAGTGTTGGGTTACAGGTGTGAGCCCCCATCCACAGTCTTGTATATTATATTATACTAGGTCCCTTCATTTGCACCACCCCTCATGTGTCTATCGCTCCTCTGCCAGGTATTGATTTAGATGTAGAAAAAAAACACATCTCAGAAAGAAATTAATGAAACAAGGATTAAACTACTAGGAAAAATCAAACCCAGCAAGCCCTCCCTGCAAATGATTCTACCTCACAAGCATAGCTTATATCCATCTTTCATTCATTTAGTGTGTAAATCAACCCTACGTTTCACCAGTGGGGCGGGAATTGCCTTTTCCACGGTCTCCTAGATTCCAGTTACGCACCTGGGCCTCCCTTATTTTCATGTCGGTCACTGTTAATCAGGTAGGGATTCCTAGTTAGCTCTGAGTTGAATCCAAGGGCTGTGAGTATCAAAAACATGCTCCTTGTTCCTCCTTAGTTTCCTGTGTACCCAGTGTGCTCTCCATCTCTCTACAGTTGTCTTGTCATTCTCCCCATCTCATTCCCAGCATTTGAGGCAGAGCCTCTTCCTTGAACTAAGAATGTTTCCACCTTTGTGCCTTCACGGCTGAGAGCTCAGTGTGGAAAATCCTTCCGCCAATCTTCCAAGGGTTGAATCCATTTTTTCCATTAAGGTCACAAATATTATCTGATCAGTGAGACCTTCTCTGTCACCTGAAATTATATACTCAGCATTATCTATTACTTATTTTAAATCCTGGCTGGGCGCAGTAGCTCTCGCCTGTAATCTTTGCACTTAGGGACGCTAAGGCGGTGGGATCACTTGAGATTGGGAGTTTGAGACAGCCTGCACAACATGGTGAAACCTCATTTCTACTAAAAAATATACCAAAAAAATTAGCCGAGTGTGGTGGCGCACAGCTGTAATCCCAGCTACTCGGTAGGCTGAGGCAGGAGAATTGCATGAACCCAGGAGGCAGAGGTTGCAATGAGCTGAGATTGTGCTACTGCACTCCAGCCTGTGGAACAGAGAGAGACTCTACTCAAAAAAAAAAAAGAAAACAAAAAACACACACACACACAAAAAACCCCAGATTTGGTGCACAGATGCTTCCCAATGGATCATTCATTTATTGGTACCCTTGTGCATTCATTCTCTGCCCTCGCATTTACCCATCTGCAATATCAGCGTCCCAAGAGCAGAGGCCAAATGCATCCTGTTTACCATTTGTGGAAGGCAGGAGAATGCTGCCCCACCCCCAAAATGTCCCTGTCTTAGCCTCCATAGCTTGTGAATATGTTATTTTACAGGAAAGGAGGAATGAAGATTGCAGATGGCATTACGGTTGCTAATCAGCTGAACTTAAAAAGAGGGTACGCTGGATGATTTTAGGGAGATTGAGATGGATTATCTTGGTGACCCCAATAGAATCCCAAAGTCCTTAAAAGATGAGGAAGAAGGCAGAGCAGGATTCAGAGAAAAAGGTATGGGTAAAGAAGAAGAGTCTGAATGATGCCATGTGAGACGTGACCAGCCTTTGTGGGCTTTGAGGAAGGAGGAAGGAGGAAGGGGACCAGGGGCCCAGGAACGTGGGAGCCTCTAGGAGCTGGGAAACGTTAAGGAGCAGATTCTTGCTTGGAACCTTAAAAAGAAATCCAGCCTTACTGTCCCTTTGATATCAGCCCAGTGAAATGCAGTTCATACTTCTGAGTTACAGCACTGTGAGATAATTAAGAAAAACATGTTTTCATCCACGAAGCTTGTGGAAATTTGTTATGGCAACAATAGGAAAAGATTCCACACTGCACAGCCAGAGCATGGGGCATTGGCTGAACGAGTGAGTGAGTGGAAGTGTCGTGTGCATAAATAAGCTAAATTCTCTCTTACTGCACGTCTCTTGCTCTGCTGAGTCAACCAGGGTTGCATCTGGTACACTGCTGATACGAATGCAAATTAGTACAGCCATTACAGAGGAGAAGAGTATGGAAGTTCCTCAAAAAATAAAATGAGGTCGGGCACAGTGGTTCATGCCTGTAATCCCAGCACATTGGGAGGCCGAGGTGGGTAGGTCACTTGAGGTCAGGAGTTGAAGAGCAGCCTGGCCAATATAGCGAAACTCTGTCTCTACTAAAAATATAAAAATTAGCCGAGTGTGGTGGTGGGAGCCAGTAACCCAGCTACTTGGGAGGCTGAGGCTGGGGAATCTCTTGAATCCTGGAGGTGGAGGTTGCAGTGAGCCCAGATGGCACCACTGCACTCCAGCCTGGGCAACAAGAGTGAAACTGTCTAAAAAAAACAAAAACAAAAACAAAAACCATAAAACAAAATGTAAAAAGACACTTCCAGAGGATCTAGCAATTCCATGACTGGGTGTAAACCCAAAGGAAAGGACATCAGCGTATCGAAGTGACATCTGCACTCCCATGACTGTTCCAGCAGTGTTCACAGTAGCCAAGATGTGGATCAACCTACCTGCCCATCAGTGGGTGAATGGATGGAGAGAATGTGGTACACACACACAATAGGGACAACTCATCCATAGAAAGAGTAACATCCTGTCATTTACAGCCACATGAATGGAACTGGAGGTCATTACAAGTATTTCCATTTCTCACTCATATGCAGGAGCTAAAAGGTGGATCTCACAAAGGTAGAGAGTAGAATGGTGGCTACCAGAGGCCAGGAAGGGAAGGGTGGAGGGTAAAAAAAAAAGAATACTAATTAATTAATTAATTAATTTTGAGAGAGTGTCTCTCTCTGTTGCCCAGGCTGCAGTGCAGTGGCATGATCTCAGCTCACTGCAACCTCCGCCTCCTGCAATTAAGTGCAACTCCTGCCCAACCCTCCCAAGTAGCTGGGACTACAGGCATGTGCCACCATGCTCGGCTAATTATTATCATTATTATTATTATTTTGTATTTTTAGTACAGATGGATTTTCCCCATGTTGGCCAGGGTGGTCTTGAGCCCCTGATCTCAAATGATCCACCTGCCTTGGCCTCTCAAAGTGTTGGGATTACAACAGTGAGCCACCGTGCCCAGCCTATAAATGTATTTATGAACAGTAGACTTCACACTTAAAAATGGTAAAGGTGGTAAATTACATAGGTATATTTCACCTCAATAAATATTTCTTCAAACAAAAAGAAAAGGGTGTAGGCGTTGCTGGTGATGACATCTCTCTGTGGGTGACAGGCCAGGATGGGCTTCTGGGAAGTGGGTAAGGTTGAGGGGCTGAGAGAACCTCTGATCTCCCCAGGCAGAGCCCAGTCTCCCTCCTCTGGGTCTGTTCTGACCTCTTTCTCCATCTGCCTGGGTGCCTGGAACCCTGATCAAGGGCCTCCTTGCAGGCCATACAGGAGGGTTTGGAGGTGCCCTGTCTGCCATCCTGCCCCCTGACCCCGCCCTTACACCCATGCTGTGTGTTCTGTCTCGGCATCTGTCCATGCTTCTCTCCATCATCAGCAGGAAGCTCCTCAGCTATGGCTCTAGGATCACAAGACATGGGACAGGCATGGTGTTTTCTCACCTGTGACAGAAACGGGCAGTGGGTCACTCGGGTCTGACCACGCGTGGGGCAGGGCACGGAAAGAGCCGAAGCATCTGTAGTTCCCTCCGTGGGTCACAGGGCCCAGAGGGAAGTTGGCCTGGAATGTTCCATTGACCCTCAGCACCGCAGTGAGCCTAAGTTCACCGGCCTCTGCCTCCCTGGATAGATGGTAAATGTCAAACAAGCTCCGGGAGCTGCAGGACAAGGTCACATTCTCTCCTGCCTGAACCGTGGGGCCCGGCTGGGCTGAGAGAGAAGGTTTCCCATATAGACCTGGAAGGAGAAGAGGTGGTTTCCTCAGGGAGGTTCTTCGTTGTCACAGCTCTCCTCACACCTGAGCTGAGAACTCACTCCCCTGCTCTATGACTTAATGCTCTCTTTCTCTCTCTCACCCTCCACCCCCATCTCTCTTCATGTCTATTTCCTCCTTCCACCTTCTCTGTCTCTCTAGGTCTCTGACCTCACTTCTCCATCCCTAGCTATGTTTTCTTTTTTTGTACCATTTTATTCTCTCTGACCCTCCTTGGACTGGTTGACTTGATCTTCCTCTTTCTTTAATTCTGAGTCTCTCACTTTCTGTCTTGCTCATAACTTTCTGCATATTTCTATCTACTATCTATTGATCGATCTATCATTTATCTATGTATGTATCTATCATCTATCATCATCTGTGTATCTATGACCTATCTCTCTGTTATCTATCATCTATCAATCAATGTATGTATGTATGCATCTATCCATCTATCATCATGTGTTTATCTTTCTATCTCTCTATATCTATTTATATATCATCTGTCTGTCTTTCTACTTGTCTATCTATATCATCTATCAGTCATTCATCATCTATTTGTCTATCACCTGTCTCTCTATTATCTATCATCTACCTTTTATCTTTCATCTATCTATATCTATCTATCCATCTATCATCTGTCTCTCTCCATCTCCTTGTCTTTCTCTGCCTCTCAGTCTCTCTAGTTCCCTTTTGGAGTCTCTGCAATCCATCCCCACATCTTTATCTTTCCCTGTCTTTGTGCCCCTCCCTCAGGGCTCTGATTTTAGGGCTTTTCTCTGCTTCCTTCCATCATACGCTCCACTTCTCTGCCCTCTTTTTCTATCTCTTTATGTGTCTGTGAGTCTCTCAATTCCCTTCTTCTGGCTCATTCTGTGTGTGTGTTCATGTCTTTGCTTTTTGATTTCCCTGATTTCACTCCGTGTCTCTCTGTGGGCTTTTGTTCTCAGTAATCCTATAACATGTGGTGCTATTTGAATATGAGCCTCAGAATCCAGTATGGGGACTCCAGGAACTCACAACATACAGGGGTTGGTGTTCTGCTCCCTCACCTGGGGCCATGGTGTCCTGCGACGACGACAGCTCCACTGCACGGAAGGCAGAGGTTTAAGAATAAACACAGCATCTGTAGGTGCCACCAGCCTGGGGCCACACGGCCCAACTCAGGCCAGATAGATGTGTCTCTTTGGGTTCTCCTGGGAGAGAACACTTTGTAGAGGTAAAACAGAATGGAACCTTCTAACCTGTGCCTGGTCTCTGAACAAAGTCAGCATAGAAGGACACCTCTCTCTGGGATATATCTGTCTCTCTGTGTCTTCTTTACCTCTTTATCTCTTTTTCTAACACCTTGTATGGCCCCTGTGTCTGGCTTCTATGTTATGACATGAGGTCTGTACTTGTGTCTCCTGTTTCTCTGCCTTTGTTGGTACAGACCTCACCAAGTCACTTTCTCTCCATAGGAACCCCACACTCATCTTCCTCATGACCACCTGGGGCTTCCAGTCCTAGATCATTCACTCCATCTCCCAGCAAGGGTGAGAGGCAGGTCTGTATTCTCTCACCTACGACCACGATGTCCAGAGGGTCACTGGGAGCCGACAACTCATAGGGTAAGTGAGTGACAGAACCAAAGCATCTGTAGGTCCCTGCAAGGGCAGGTGTCATGGGACCCATGGAATAGTTGACCTGGGAACCCGCATCGTGGAGCTGTCCAATGAGGCGCAAGGGGTCCTCAGTGATCCCCTCTCTGTGCAGAAGGAAGCGCTCAAACCTGACATCTGACCAACATTGCAGGATGACCGTCTCTCCCGATTTCACCAGGGGACCTGGGTGGGCCAGGAGGGAAGGTTTTCTGTGGACTCCTAAGAAGAGAGGTTGTGAGTTCAGAAGGCGTCTCCCTTTCTCATCCCATTCATGGGACCTGAAATAAGTGAGGCTTCCCCTCCATGGTGTCTATCTCTCTCCTTCCTCTCTGTGTCTCCGTGTTCTTTTGTGCCCATAACCCCTGTTGCAGGTCCCTCCATCTGTCTCCCTCCCTCTTCCCTGTCTCTCTGTCTCTAGTAGCCCTGATTCCCTTCCCACTGTGCTCAGTGTCACCTCTTATGCTGTTGTATCTGTTTCCCACTAATCTCTTTCCTGGTGTTTATGTGGGGGTGGAAGAGGAACCACGACAGGCTGCATGTCCAGGCTCTTAGCAGCCTGAATCAATCTCTTTTGGACAGATTGGAAAGGCTGGCAGGAGGTACGAACTCATCAGTAAGGCAGGCATCAGTGTCCCTGTTCCTGATGGGGATTGGGAGCCTCTCCTGTCATGTCTGTGCCTTCTCCATGGCCCCAGCTTCCATAGGGTGGCCCCTGGTGCTGGTTCCAGGAGCATCAACCCCTCCCTATGTGGATCGAGCCTGGTGGTAGCATCAGTATCCCACCCATGCTAAAATCAGTGTAGCCAACCTTCTCCTTGTTTGGTTTCTTAACTTGTGCTTCACCTGGGTTCCTGTGTTGGTTTCCTGTTGCTGCTGGAGAAAATTGTCACAAACATGGGGCAAGAGAGAATACAATGACCCCTTCCACTTCTGGAGAACAGAAATCGGACCCAGTTCTCTCTGGGCTAAAATCAAGGCATCTACAGGGCTGTGTTTCCTCTGGAGACTCAGGGAAGAATCAGTTCCCTTGACTTCTCCAGCCCTTAGAGGCCAACTGCCTTTGTGGCTCATGGCCTTCCCCCATCTTCAAAGCCCGCTGTGGCTGATGGAGTCTCCCTCCCACGACGTTGCTCTAACCCCACTTTCCTCTTCCTCCTCCTCTCATGAGGACCCTTGTGATTACTCTGAGCACAGCAGGACAGTCCAGGCTGTCTCCCCATCGCAAGGTCAACCCATCAACAACCTGAGCTCCATCTTCCCCTTCAGTCCCCTGCCCTATGACATAAATAGTCACAGGGTTCATGGATTACCATGTAGCCATCACTGGGGACAATTATTCTTCCCACCACAGCAACTATTTCTCTGTACTGAATCCCCCTTTACCCCAAATACAGTCTGGGCCTGGATGATTGGACCCTGATGGACACCCCCACCAGAAGCTCTGGGATTCAGGAGGTGGGACAGTGAGAAGCCCAGACAGAAAGCCTCTGACCTGTGACCATGATCACCACAGGGTTGCTGGGTGCCGACCACCCAGTGGGGGAGTGTGGGTGTGAACTGCAACATCTGTAGGTCCCTGCATGTGCTGGGGTCACAGGGCCCATGAGAAAGCTGTTCCGGAATATTCTGTTGTAGAGCTCAGGGACAGGCATCCCGTCTTCTTTGGACAGACTGAATTCGTTAAACCCAAGACGAGAGCGACACTGAAGAGTCACATGTTGTCCTTCAGACACCACAGTGCCGGGCCAGGCAGAGAGGAAGGGCTTGTCCTGACCACCTGGGGGAGAAGGAGGCACTACCTTAGAGAGGAGGATGTGGAGCCGCCCCTCCCTCCCTGTGCTCAGAAGATTCTCCCATTTCCACGTTTCTAAGGCTCCTACCACACCTGGGTGCCCAGGGCTACAGGAAGGACCCATCCCGCATAGACATGGCGTCTCCCTACAGCAAGTGTCAGCTGAGAACTTTGAGCAGGTGCTGAAGAAGCGACTCTTACTAGATTTTAACACTGCAAAATTACTTACATAAAAGAACACAAGGTAGACACAGGATGGAGGGCATGATCAGCTAATGCATGAACCATAATAAACAACTGAGCCCCTATTAGAAGATCTGGAATGTCAGGGTCATGACTGTGGTTCCCCCACCTCTTAGGTAGAATGACAGCAGCCACATTGCAGCCCCTACCGTCATGGAAACGCTGGAGGGTGTGAGTTATGCTCTTGTCCTCAGAGGCCTGTTGTTCCTTGCACTGCTTCTCTCCCTTCCTCTGCCGGTGACACCACTTCCTCCCTGCACACCACTCCTTTGAGCACTTCAGTCTCCCCCTGGGTCCCCACAGACTCAGCCAAGGGAAAGAAAGGCCGGGGAGGGCTAGGACAGAACTGTGGCGAAGCTTCCCCTGGCTTCCTTTTCCTAGTTCATGAGAGATTCCCACATGGCTTCCCATGGTCAGCCCATCAGTCAACCCCCTGTGTCGCCTGCCTCCCGTTTCAGGAACATCATCTTATGTGGGGAGATGACAACCTAAGGTTTGGGGGAAGGACTCACCCACATGTGGCCAGGGCCCCTCCAGCAAGAAGAACCCTGGAAAGAAAGATCATGATGGATGATCCATCTGTACATCACCTCCAGGCCCATATCTCCACTCCAGGCCCATATCTCCACTTCCGTCCTATATCTCTACTCCAGGCCCATATCTCCACTCCAGGCCTATATCTCCACCTCTGTCCTATATCTCTACTCCAGGCCCATATCTACACTCCAGGCCCATATCTCCACCTCCAGGCCTGTATCTCCACCTCCAGGCCCGTGTCTCCATTCCAGGCCCATATCTGCACTCCAAGCCAACATCTCCACTCCAGGCCCATATCTCTACTCCAGGCCCATATCTACAGTTCCAGGCCCATATCTCCACCTCCAGGCCCATATCTCCACTCTAGGCCCATATCTCCACCTCCAGGCCCGTATCTCAATTCCAGGTCCATATCTGCACTCCAAGCCAATATCTCCACTCCAGGCCCATATCTACAGTTCCAGGCCCATATCTCTACTCCAGGCCCATATCTCTACTTCAGGCCCATATCTACAGTTCCAGGCCCATATCTCCACTCCAGGCCCATATCTCCACCCCAGGCCCATATCTCCACTCCAGGCCTATATCTCCACTCCAGGCCCATATCTCCACTCCAGGCCCATATCTCCACTCCAGGCCCAGATCTCCACCCCACCGCTCCCTCCCTCGATTCCCTTCCAGGACTCACCAACACACGCCATGCTGACGACCATGAGCGACATGGTGCTGCCGGTGCAGACAGGCGGCTGCGCCCCAGCTCAGTTCAGCAGCACACAGGATGTTGTGAGGGGCTCATGCAGTTTACATGCTGACCACATCATGGGAGGATGACGTATGCAGGCTATTTCTACCTTGCATGAGGCCCAGTGGCTGTTTGGTCAAGAGCAGAACATGGCTTCCTGGAAATTGTTCCAACTAGAATTGACACCTTGCATCCTTCACTATAACCAACTCAAAACACGTCTCAGATCCAATCTCTCATACAGGAGATGACTGAATGCTTGGCTTACATTAAAGACTTTTGATGTATTTTTGTTGTTTTTATCTGAGATTCAAACTCTTCTTCATGTGCTATTTTCCCCAGGCTGTTCTTTGACTTCAGAGTTCAAGCAATCCTCCTGCCCCAGCATTTCTAGCAGCTGGCAGTATGTCACAATCTGCCACACCCAAGTCACAACTTTTAGAACTTTTTTTTTTTTTGAGATGCAATCTCACTTCGTCACCCAGTTTGGAATGCAGTGGTGAGACCTCGGCTCATTGCAGCCTCCACCTCCCAGGTTCACGCAATTCTCGTGCCTCAGCCTCCTAAGTAGCTGGATTTACAGGCACCCACCACCACGCCCACCTAATTTTTGTACTTTTAGTAGAGAGGAGGTTTCTCCATGTTGGCCAGGCTGGTCTTGAACTCCTAACCTCAAGTGATCTGTCTACTTCAGCCTCCCAAAGTGCTGAGATTACAGGTGTGAGCCACCATGCCTGGCCGGGACATTCTATATGTGTGCGTATGTGTGCATTTATATACATATGGTTATACACACACACACACACACACACACACACCCTAAGCACTCACATATATAGTTGTTTCAAATTTTAAAAAATATAAATTTTGTATTTTTCTTTCTTTTTCTCACATTTGTGTTTCTATGACACCATATACATATTGAATTTTATAGCTCTATTTTATTCTTTTGGATTGCAGTTTAATAGTCCATGCATAACTTTATCAACATGTAATTATCCATTCTTTTTATCATGGACATTTGTGTTGTTTCCGGATTTTCTCTTTTATAACTCGGGCCTTGATAATCGTGTTTCTGTGTGATCCCTTGCATACATATGCTGAATTAATTAGACATATTTACCTAGAAATGAAATTATTGGTTTTGGGTGCAAGTTGGTGTTGAGCTTAACCAGGAAGTGCCAAAATATTTCCATCATGACCAAATGTGGCCTGGAAAGTTTTTTGGGGTCAATTTTCCTGTTTCTTCTAAGGAACAAAATTGATGTCACTGATTTTTCTGTCCTGTTTGTCATTTATGAATGTATGTACATATGCACGTATATATTTGCTTGCCATTTTATGTTTTTCCTCGACGTTACTTTGGAATTAATTTGCTGATGTGTAGTATTTCTGCAAGTGAAAGTTACCTATTTACTCAGCTCTTCCTTCTTTTCTAACACAGACATTTGAGGCTTATTGTCCCTTAACGCTGTTCTATCTGTATCCCCAGTCATTTGCCGAGATGTGTTTTCATTTTTAATTGATACAAAATATTTTCCACCTTTCTTTGAAATGTTTTTCTTCCACTCATTGTTTATTGCTATGTGTGTTTATTAATTTTAAAATATTTGATAATTTCCCCAGCATTTCCTTGTTGTACATTTATAATTTAATTCAACTGTTTCATCTATCATATTACCTATGATTCAGCATTTAAAAATTTATTTTGGTGAATGTTCCAGGGGTGCTAGACAAGTTTGTGGATTAGGAAGATTTGAGGTGGATGTTTTCTAAATGTCAGTTAAGAAAAAAATCATTCAAATGTTTTTCTTTATTTAAAAAAAATAGAGACGGGGTCTCACTATGGTGCCCAGGCTGGTCTCAAACTCCTGGCCTCAAGTGATCCTCCCATTTTGGCCTCCCAAAGTGCTAGGATTATTGAAATTATTAAATGTTTCATATCAACACCCAACCTTATGCACCCGCCGCCTACACAAATGTTTTTCAAGTCTTTCATATGCTTAATAATTTTCTGTGTACTTGTTCTGGAAGTGAGGTGAATGTTGCTATCTCTAGCTGCAATTTGGATGTGATTGATTATGTTTTGAATTATGCCTTTAATTTAATGTGTTTTGAGGTTCCAGCTTTAAGTGTGTAGGCATTTAGGATGATTATGTCTTATTTATGAATTTGCCTCTTTGTCATTATGAAGTACTCCTCTTCATATCTCCATATATCTCTTCTTTGTATGTGCATGGTGAAATATTTCATTCTTTGAGTTAAGAAACTTCTATTGAGGAATACTTTTTATTACAAACATTTACCTATTCTATGTATACAACTGACTAGAAGCATATTTTGCACTGGGCATTATCATGACAAGGTAATGTCATTCTTTCAATATTTACATCTTGTGGATTAGTATTTGAAGTGCAGCTTATGTAGACAGCATAAGGTTGGGTGTTGATATGAAACATTTAATAATTGCACACGTATTTGCCTCTTGGGATACTTCCACTTTTTTGAATTTCAAGTTACTAAATGGTATCATTAATCTTTGCTTCAAGAGCTTAACATTTATTGTAGAACAATGCTTCATGTAATAAATTGTGAGACATTTTTAATGGCACCTTTATTGCAGGAAAATGTTTTCCTTTTCAGGTTGAAAGATTCTAGTTTGAAATATTTTCTTGTAGCACTTTAAAAATGTTGGTCCACCTGTTTCTTACTTTCATAGTTTTGAATACAAAGTTTGCTGTCATTCTTGTATTTCTTCTTCTGTTTTTTATTTATTTATTTTTGACAGAATATCTTGCCGTCTCACCCAGGCTGGAGTGCAGTGGCATGATCTTGGCTCACTGCAACCTCTGCCTTCCAGGTTTCAGCAATTCCTGCCTCAGCCTCCTGAGTAGCTGGGACTACAGGCATGCGCCACCATACCCAGCCAATTTTTTTTTTTGTATTTTTTTTTTGTAGAGATGAAGTTTTGCCATATTGGCCAGAACTCCTGACCTCAAATGATCCACCTGCTTTGGCCTCCCAAAGTGCTGGGATTACAGGTGTGAGCCACTGTGCTCAGGCTATTTATTCCTTTTTATATAATATGAATTCACATTCATACATACCAGGGGTTAGGATTTCAACAAACGTTTCTGGGGGAGACCACTCAAAACACAGCACTCATCCTTGGTTATTTCCAGCCATGGAGCCTGTATCAATATCCTGGTGAATTATCTAAGCTGTCCACCTACCTACCCCAAATCCTCATGGTCACATAAAAGGCTAGTATAGTATAATAATTTTTCTTTCCCTGCTTATCTACAGTGATGAAGAAACGAATATTCAAAGGGAAAAATCTTAGCTTTAGGTATAGGGTAATTCTTCTTCCTATTTTTAAATAACTTCAACCTTTACTGTAGATTAAAGGTATGCATGCAGGTTTGTTACATAGGCATATTGTGTGACTCTGAGGTTTGTGGTTCCAACAATGCCATCACCCAGGCAATGAGCATAGAATCCAACAGGTGTTTCTTCAGCCTATACCTCCCTACTCCTCCCCCCATCTGTAGTCCTCGGTATCTGTTGTTTCCATCTTTATGTTCATGTGTATTCAATGTTTGGTTCTCAGTTATAAGTGATAACATGTGGTATTTGGTTTTCTGTTCCTGGGTTAGTTCACTTAGGAGATTGACCTCCTGCTACATTCATGTTGCTGCAAAGGACATGATTTCATTATTTTTTATGGCCATGTAATGTTCCATGTGTATATGTAGCACATTTTCTTTAACTAATCCACTGTTGGTGAGCACTTAGGTTGACTGCAAATCTTTGCTATTCTGAATTGCACAGCAATGAATATACTAGTGCATGTGTCTTTTTGACATAGTTAATTACCTTCCTTTTGGTATATACCCAGTAGTGGGATTGCTTGATTGAATAGTAGTTCTATTTTAAGTTATTTGAGAAGTCTCCAAACTGCTTATCACATTGGCTGAACTAGTTAACATTCCCACCAAGAGTGTATAAGTGTTCCCTTTTCTCCACAATCTTGTCAGCATCTGTTATTAAAAAAAACAAAAAACTTTTTAGTAATTGCTTCTGCTTCTCTGATTGTTGTGAGATGGTATCTCACTGTGGTTTTAATTTGCATTTCTCTGATGATTACTGATAATAAGCATTTGTTCATATGTTTTTTGGCCATGTGTACATCTTCTTTTGAGAAGTGTCTGTTCATGTCATACTTAATTGAGGTTTTTTGGTTTTCTGCTTGTTGATTTGTTTACATTCCTTATAGATTCTGGATATTAGAACTTTGTCAGATGCATAGTTTGCAAATATTTTCTCCCAGTCTGTAGGTTATCTGTTTACTCTGTTGATACTTTCGTTTGCTGTGCAGAAGCTCTTCAGTTGAGTTAGGTCCCAATTTCTGTCTTTGTCACAATTGGTTTTGGGGAGTTAGCCATAAATTCTTTGCCAAAGTCTATCTTGAGAAGGATATTTCCTAGGTTTTCTTCTAGAATTTTAATATTTTGAGGTTTTACATTTAAATCTTTAAACTATCTTGGGTTAATTTTTGTATATAGTGAGAGTTAGGGGTCCAGTTCTATTATTTTGCATATGAGTAGTCAGTTATCCCAGAACTATTTATTGAAGAAAGGGTACTTTCCACATTGCTTGTTTTTGTCAATTTTTTCAAAGATGATTGTAGGTATGTAGCCTCATTTCTGGGTTCTCTATTCTGTCTCATTGGTCTATGTGTCTGTTTTTGTAGTAGTATCATGCTGTTTGGGTTACTATAGCATTGTAGTATAGTTTGAAGTTGGGTAATGTGATGCCTGGGCTTTGTTCTTTGTGCTTAGGATTCCTATGTGTATTCAGGCTCTTTTTTTGGTGCCAAATACATTTTAGAATAAATTTTTATAATTTCGTGAAAAATGACATTGCATTTTGAAATGGATAGCATTGACTCTGCAATTTGTTTTTGGAAGTATGGCGATTTTAACTATTTGTTCTCCTAATTCATGAGCATGGAATATTCTTCCATTTGTTTGTATCATTTCTTATTTCTTTCAGAAGTGTTTTGTAGTTCTCCTTGTAGAGAATTTTCACCTTCTTGGTTAGATGGATTCCTAGGTATTTTATTTTCTTTGTGGCTAGTGTAAATGGAATTGTGTTCTTGATTTAGTTCTCAGCTAGAATGTTAGTGGTGCATAGAAATGTTACTAATTTGTGTACATTTTTTTAATCCCGAAACTTTATTGAATTTGTTTATCAGTTTCAGGAGCCTTCTGACAGAGTCTTTAGGGTTTTCTATGTATAAAATTATTTCATCAGCAAAGAGAGACAGTATCACTACTTCTTTTCCAATTTTAATGCCTTTTATTTCCTTCTCTTGCCTGATTGCTTTGGCTAGGACTTCCAGTACCATGTTGAATTAAAATGGCGGGAGTGGTCATCTTGGTCTTGTTTCGGTTCTCAAGGGGTATGGTTCCAGCTTTTGCCCATCAATATGATGTTGGCTGTGGGTTTGTCATAGATGGCTCTTAATATTTTGAGGTATGTTCCTTTGATGCCTATTGACAGTTTTTATCATGAAGGGATGTTGGATTTTACAGAAAGCTTTTTTTGCATCTATTGAGATGATCATATAGTTTTTGTTTTTAATTATGTTTATGAGGTGAATCACATTCGTTGACTTTGTAGGTTGAACCAACCTTGCATCCCAAAAATAAAGCTTACTTGATCATGTGAATTAACTTTTGATGCACTGACAGATTCAATTTGCTAGCATTTTGTTGAGGATTTTATGTCTATGTTCATTAAGGATATTTAGTTGTAGTTTTCTTTTTTTCATTATGTCTCTGACAGATGTTGGTATCATGGTGATGATGGCTTCATAGAATGAGTTAGGAAGAAGCCCCCACTCCTTGATTTTTTCCAAAAGTTTCAGTAAGATCGGTATCAGTTCTTCTTTGTATGGCTGTTGGATTTTGGCTGTGAATCCGTCTGGTCCTGGGCTATTTTTAGTTAGTAGGGTTTTTATTACTGATTAAATTTCTGAACTTGTTATTGGTCTGTTCAGGTTTTCACTTTCTTCCTGGTTGAAATATGATAAATTTTGTGTTACCAGGAATTTATCCATTTCTTCTAGGTTTTCTAGCTTGTTTGTATAGAGGTGTTCATAATAGTCTTTGACGATCTTTTCTATTTCTGTGGGATTGTTCGTAACATTGTTTTGTCAGTTCTATTTGTGTTTATTTGGATCTTTTCTCTTTTTCTTTGTTAATCTAGCTAACAGTCTATGAATTTTGTTTATTTTTTTTCAAAGAAAAACTCTTGGTTTTATTTATCTCTTGTATGGACTTTTTGGTCTCAATTTATTCAGTTCTCTCTGACTTTAGTTATTTCTCATCTTTTGCTGGCCTTGGGTTTGGACTGTTCCTTTTTTTTAATAGTTCCTCTAGATGCAGTGTTAAGTCACTAATTTGAGATCTTTCTAAACTTCTGATGAGGCATGTATTGCTATAAATTTTCCTCTTATCACTGCTTTAACTGCATCCCAAAGGTTTTGGTAAGTTTGTTTCTATTTTTATTAATTTTAAATAATGTTTTGTGATTTCTGCTTTAATTTCATTGTTCACCCAAGAGTTCTCAAGGGGTACAGTTCCAGCTTTTGACCATTCAATATGATGTTGGCTGTGGATTTGTCATAGATGGCTCTTAATATTCATTCAGAAACAAGTTGTTAAATTTCCATGTTTTTCTGTAGTTTTGAGAGATCATCTTGGTATTTTTTTCTATTTTTATTGTGTGCCTTGTTATGATTTTGATTCTTTGAATTTATTGAGACTTGCTTTGTGGCCAGTCTTAGAATATGATATGTTTTTTGTGTGTGCAGATAAGAAGAATCTATATTCTGCAGTTGTTGGGTGGAGTACTCTGTAGATGTCTATGAGGTCCAATTGGTCAAGTGTTGTCTTTAAGACCAGAATTTCTTTGTTAGTTTTCTGTTTTAGTGATTCATCTGACGTTGTTAGTGGGATACTGAAGTCCCTTACTATTATTGTGTGGCTGTCTAACTCTTTTCATAGGTGAAGAATAACTTGTTTTATGAATCGGAGTGCTCCAAATTTGGGTGCATATATATTTAGAATAGTTAAGTCTTCTGTCAAATTGAACCCTTTATCATTTTGTAATGCCCTTCTTTGTCCTTCCTGATTGCTGTTGATTTAAAGTGTGTTTCATGTGATATAAGAATAGGAATGCCTTCCTTTTTTTTGTTTCCTGGTTGCCTAGTAAATATTTCTTCATCCTTTTACTTTGAGCCTGTGGGTGTCATTACATGTGAGATGGGTCTCTTGAAGACAGCAGGCAGTTGGCTCTTGGCTTTTTATCCACGTTGCCACTCTATGCCTTTTATGTGGGGAATTTAGGCCATTTACATTTCTTCTCCTGATATATCCTTTTTATATTTTTATGATTGCCTTTTAAAATATATTGAATGGTTGTAATTCCAGGGAAATGTCTTTCAGAACAGTATTTATTCCTATCTACATGTTTTGGAGAGTGCACTAGGGGACATTGAAGTTTATTTCCTGAAAAGAGTTTAATTTTAAAATGTATTTTATTTAATAACTCAATGATTCAGGGAATGTCTAGGTATTTCAGAGATTGTTTTAGACAGTTTGTTTTCTTGTGATATGTGACCACTTCATCTAAGCTGAATAATGTCTTCATAATGTCCACTTAGAATCTTTTGAATTCTGTAGGATCTGTACTGATGTCATTGTTTCCTTTCTGATATTGGTAATTTTCCTGGGGTAGGATTCTTAGCTCCTCCTGAGGTCCTGCCTCTAAAATTCAGGGAACAATGAGTCAGATTAGTACTCTGATTTCAAAGGGAAAGCTGATCATCTACCATTTTTTGTTTATGTAAATGGACACATTAACATCCCTTGTCTGAACCTTAGTTACCTTGTTTGGAGCATTTTGCTATAAATCTCACTTCTCAGAGTGGTTGTGGGGCTTGATGTGGCTGGGGTATGGGATGGCTTAAACATAATTTATTTCCAGACCAGGTTAAGGCATGAAGGGGTTGGGACTTGTTAGAATCCTGTTGTCGGACTCCACAGTAAGGGTAGACATTTGAGGCACCCAATCAAAAACCTCAGTTGTTCCTAGCACTGAGAAATTTGATAGAATGTTTCTAAAACATTATTCATGGTCTAATGCACAAAAAGTAAAGTGATAGCCCTGGAAGTAGACAGGGAACCATAAGAAAAAAGAGAGAGCAAAGCTCAGTGGTCACCAGTGCCTGGGACCATCAAGGGGTTATTAAGGAGGAAGTTTCCACCTCTGTGGGGAACAGAAGAGGCTCCCTAGGGTCCACACACACAGGGAGTGAGCCAAGACTCTGGGCGAGGCTGGAAGCTCTGGGTCTCCTTCTGTGAGATTTTCTTTTTTTTTTTTGAGATGGAGTCTTGCTCTGCCACCCAGGCTAGAGTGCAACGGCGCGATCTCGGCTCATGGCAACCTCTGCATAAAGTGGTATGTATTTAAGGCATGCATTAGACAAATTACTAAGTATTTACTAGATAAGAAAAAATTATATCTGAATCTTTTCAAATTGCCGTCTTATGCATTATATTCTCTTTTTATAGTGCAATTTCTTAATAGTTAATGCCAGAAGATTTTTTTTTCTTCCTTTCTTTCTTTCTTTTTTTTTTTTTTTTGAGACAGAGTCTCACTCTGTTGCCAGGCTGGAGTGCAGTGGCACGATCTCGGCTCACTGCAACCTCCGTCTCTCGGGTTCATGCCATTCTCCCGCCTCAGCCTCCTGAGAAGCTGGGACTACAGGCACCCTCTACCATGCCCAGCTATTTTTTTTTTTTTTTTTGTATTTTTAGTAGAGACGGGGTTTCACCATGTTCGCCAGGATGATCTCTGTCTCTTGAACTCGTGATCCACCTGCCTTGGCTTCCCAAAGTGCTGGGATTACAGGCATGAGCCACTGCACCTGGTCGCCAAAAGATATTTTTAAAAACCTAAATGCCACTTGAAATGAATAAGACCCTCAATAATTCATGGGATATACATGTGAACTTATGACATATGATGAAATAAGCAGGTTACAAAATTGTAATATATCAAGCAAGGTAGAAAGCCATGGCAGAAAAAGAGACAAGCATTTTCAAGATAAGGAATGAAAGAGGGGAAACAGTACTATTGATTTTACAGATTTTACAAAGATATCTTAGGTGTGTTTTCCTAAATAATAAATGTACCCTCCTTTTGACCTTTATGTAATGAAATAACCATGCACACATTTTCAAATAATACTTCATTTACTTGACTTTATGCTTGAAAATTGAAGTATGGTGCTGTTTGTTATTTTCATTTATGCATTTTACTACCTTGTAATATTCCACTGAGTCTATTTACCACACTATGTTTATTTTTTTCGTAGGTGGACTTTGGTATTTTATAGCTTTGGCTAATAGGAACAGCATTCCTATAACAGTTGTGAGTGTATCATGACACATAAGTAGACATTTATCTCTAGGGTACATAATTAAGTACATAATTAAGAAGGGTCACAGCCATGTGCCTCCTCTTTTTAACTAGATAATTCCAATACACTTCCTTAATTGATTAAAGCAATTTGTACTCTTACTATTAATGTACTAAAATTCTACATGTTCAATATTCTTTCCAAAAAATGATTTTGCTACTTTTTTCTTTTCTTGAGACTGAGTCTTGCTCTATCACCCAGGCTGTAGTGATCTCGGCTCACTGCAACCTCCGCCTCCTGGGTTCATGCGATTCTCGTGCCTTGGCCTCCCAAGTAGCTGGGATTACAGGCAGGCGCCACCATGTCTGGCTAATTTTTGTATTTTTAGTAGAGACAGCGTTTCACCATGTTGGCCAGGCTGGTCTCGAACTCCTGACCTCAGGTGATCCTCCTGCCTCGGCCTCCCAAAGTGTTGGGATTACAGGCATGAGCCACCACACCCGGCCTATTTTTTTCTTTTCCCTCCATTGTGCTATGATTTTTGACATTACAATTTTACTGAAACTACACCATAAGAATGAAGCAGAAATTATTATAACCTTTAAATAAACTTTACAACTGGTTCATACTCGTGTGAACGACAATTCTTTTGACTACTTCCCAACTGTGCATTCAATGGCGTCATATGGGCACCCTGAAGTTGGCCATAAAGGACGTATTTATACCACACTAATCAGCAAATACCATAAATCTGGGGCTTTATATGTTCAGAGTTTTCTTAAGAAAATAATTTTTTCAGAGAGCCAGTTTAACAGAATACCATGAGGCTGAGCCTTCGAGCGTTAGTGTGCTCATTCTGAGAGATGATATTTCTGGACAAAGTACACAGGTATCATCCGATGAAGAGTGAAGGGAATTCAGGGTCCAGAGAGGGTGCTAGGGCATCATTTCAGACTCATATTTCCCTTTTTTTTTTTTTTTTTGGAGATGGAGTCTTGCTCTGTTGCCCAGGCTGGAGTGCAGTGGCAAGATCTTGGCTCACTGCAACCTCCGCCTCCCGGGTTCAAGCTATTCTCCCGCCTCAGCTTCCTGAGCAGCTGGGATTACAGGTGCTCACTGCCACACCCAGCTAATTTTTGTATCTTTTAGTAGAGACAGGGTTTCACCATGTTGGCCAGGTTGGTCTCGAACTTCTGACCTCAAGTGATCCGCCCACCTCAGCCTCCCAAAGTGCTGGGATTACAGGTGTGAGCCACTGTGCCTGGCCTCAGACTCATGTTTCAAAGTCCCAAATACAAATCTGCCCACCTATTCCAGTTATTTAATCCAGATCTATGCTCAGAACTGAAAAGATGGAGAATCAATAGTTCACTTTAGAGAATGCGGTAGTTGGAAACAAAGACAAATGTATTACATGACAGTGGACCAGAGCACGTGATCGCAGGGGTGTGGATGCAAACCCACCATGGGGGACGTGCCTTCACATCACAGAGAGCGAAAGGAAGGGAGGGGCAGACACGGAGGATCCACAACAGCAGGACTGAAAGCACTGCCATTTAATGGAAGTTTAATGGAGGAAGCGTTCTCTACAGGCACCCAGACATCTTCCTGAACCTGACCCAAGCCTCCCCTTCTCGACTTTCTCAGTAGACGGTTTCCCGAATGATGGTCCAGACTTTCTTCCAGAACCTCCTAGGACTATCAGATTCATTGCCAAGGCTCTGGCACTCTGAAGGGTGCATTGTTCTCTCATGTATTTACCTCCTTGCTGCATCTTGGGGACTTCTCTAGCTGTGCCAGTCCTAAAGCAGCAGAATCCCGAGGACCACCAGGACCAAGCCAGCCACAGCCACGCGGATGAGATTCTCCACTGTGTAATCCTGGGGGTGTGAGGCTGGGGATGGTGGACCAAGAGGTCTCAGAGGTCAGGGCAGATCAACATCACCCGGGACCCCTGGATGTCCACCCAGGGCACCCACCTCCCCTTCACAGGACCTGACCCTCTGTGCCAGCCCCATAACCGAGAGCATCTCCTTACACACCAGTCTTGGAGTCTGTCTTGTTTTGCGATGGGCTGAGGGTCTCAGCTGCTCCTGAGAATCAACCAAAAAAGGGGGAGGTGTGTGAGGAGTTGAAGAGACTTAAGCCAACATGTCCCTCAGTTGCTGCATTCCTTTGTGTCTACACTTCTCCTAACTGCTCTGTAGTTGTGTGATAGAACCTTTCCCTGCCGTGGCAGAGGTACATTCGCATACATACATACATATATGCATAGGTGTAAATATGTGTGTATACATAATATGTGTTATGCATATGTGTATACATAATATGTATTATGCATATGTGTATAGATAATATGTATTATGCATATGTGTATGCATAATATGTATTATAAGATATAGTGTGAGTATATATAAATATATAATATATAAGATATATAATAGTGTGTGTATACATATAAATATATAATAAGATATGTAATAGTGTGTGCATATATAAATATATAATATATAATAAGATATATAATAGTGTGTATATATAAATATATAATACATAATATATTATAAGATATATAATAGTATGTATATATAAATATATAATACATAATATATAAGATATATAATAGTGTGTGTATATATAAATATATAATACATTATATATTATAAGATATATAATAGTATATATAAATATATAGTACATAATATATAATAAGATATATAATAGTGTGTGTATACATATAAATATATAATAAGATATGTAATAGTGTGTGCATATATAAATATATAATATATAATAAGATATATAATAGTGTATATATATAAATATATAATACATAATATATTATAAGATATATAATAGTATGTATATATAAATATATAATACATAATATATAAGATATATAATAGTGTGTGTATATATAAATATATAATACATTATATATTATAAGATATATAATAGTATATATAAATATATAGTACATAATATATAATAAGATATATAATAGTGTGTGTATACATATAAATATATAATAAGATATGTAATAGTGTGTGCATATATAAATATATAATATATAATAAGATATATAATAGTGTATATATATAAATATATAATACATAATATATTATAAGATATATAATAGTATGTATATATAAATATATAATACATAATATATAAGATATATAATAGTGTGTGTATATATAAATATATAATACATTATATATTATAAGATATATAATAGTATATATAAATATATAATACATAATATATAATAAGATATATAATAGTGTGTGTATATATAAATATATAATACATAATATATATTATAAGATATAATAATGTGTGGGTAATATAAATATATAATACATAATATATAAGATATATAATAGTGCATATATAAATATATAATACATAATATATATTATAAGATATAATAATGTGTGGGTATATATAAATATATAATACATAATATATATTATAAGATATAATAATGTGTGGGTATATATAAATATATAATACATAATATATAAGATATATAATAGTGTATATATAAATATATAATACATAATATATATTATAAGATATATAATAGTGTGTGAGTATATATAAACACATACATATATATTTGAAGTGAGAAGAGTATTATATAATTTAGAAACAAACAAGTTTGTCCTCCATTTTCTTGTGGTTAATGTAATTATTATCAATAAATCAGAAGAGATCATTTCGGAAAGGATTGAAAGGGAGTGTGTCTGTGGTAAGTTAATAGGAACTAAAATTAGCATACCCAAACCAATAGCTTTCTCATCCATACGTAACTAATTTTAGAAAATAGAAAGGAATCAAAGACTTTCAAATTATTCAAGTAGTAAAACAATGCTTAAAATTCACAATGTCCACAATTTTTATGAATACAACTTCAAGCATCTGCTAACTGTATAAAGTTTAATTTTAAATGTATTGGATACAAAGACATTATTAATGAGAAGTTATTCTCCATCATGAATGCACATATTTAATTTAATCCCAAAGAAAATCAGAGCACAGTTATTTTACATCATAACGCTACCTAACAAATTAAATGTGTAAATTATAAATGCCAGCATTGCTTTGAAATCTTCAGAAACAGAAAGAGAAACTAGATATGTGGACATAAAAAATAAAGGACAGAAAGGAATTGCACACGAGGTTTGCTGTTGAATAATTTGCCTGCATTGCTGCAGTGAGCAGGTGCATGATCTCCCCTTCGTCTCAGGTATGCACTGAGTATTTTGGGGCCGCCAGGGGAGCCCAGGTGGGGAGTGGGTGGGGCCTCCATCTTCTACCCTCAGCCTAAGCATGATTCCTCCAAGGTTTCTCCATATCTCATTTCAGCCCTCCCTGGCCTTTAGCCCCATCTGAGGTCTCTGGGGTGGGAGCCCAGGATTAGGAGGTCCCTGACTATTTCCACCCTCTCATGGGCTGGGCCCTCCCCTGCCGACCCTCCCCCTTTACTCCCCTCTTTCCTTAGCGTCCTGAGCTCTCCTGGGGGCAGGGCCTGAGCTGAGGTTTGAGCTCAGAGAGGACAGGGTCAGCGGCCTCACCTGAGACCACGAGCTCCAGGGGGTCACTGGGGTGAGACAGCAGGTAGGGGAAGAATCTGCGTGAGCTGTAGCACCTGTAGGTCCCCGCGTGGGCTGAGGTCACAGGACTCATGGGGAATTCAGCCTGGTGCTGCTGAGCTTGGTGCTCTGATCTCAGACGCAGTGGGTGATGGGCTGCCCCCTCCTTGGTCAGAAGGAAAGTGTCCAACTGCTCCCGTGACTGACACAGCAGGGTCACGTTCTCTCCTGAGGCCACCGTGGGGCCCGGCTGCACCGAGAGGGAGGGTCTGCCACGGATCTGTCCTGGAGAGAAGAAGGATGGGTGAGGGGCTGCCCCACCTCGTTCTGAGCTGACACCTCCCCAGGCCTCTCCCTGGGACCCTCAGTGTCTCTGTCTCTGTTTTCTCTGAGTCTCCCCCTCCCCGCCCATCCCCTGTCTCTGTCTGTCTCTCCGTCCCTTAGGACCCCCACCCCTCATCCCGGCCATCACCACCTGGGCTCCCCCAGCAGGGCCTGTGCGGAGCCTGGGTCCCTGACTGAACCTGCTGGGCTCCTCACCTGCGATCAGGATGCTCAGGGGGTCACTGGGGGCCGACCACTCGGAGGAGAGGTTGTGTGCACCGTAGCATCTGTACTGGCCCCCGTGGGAGACCCTCACAGGGCCCAGGGTGAAGTTGGCCTGGGAGAGCCCAGCCTGGGGCTGCCGGCCAGAGCCCTGGACGAGGTCATGTCCCCCCTCCTTGTACAGAGTGAATTTGTCATAGCCGACATCAGAGCCACACTGGAGGGTCAGATTCTCCCCAGGGGCCACGACAGGGCCCTGCAGGGTCAGGAGGGAGGGCTTCCTAGACACGCCTGGAGGGAAAGAAGAGTCGGGACTAGGAGGGCTGGTTCCTCCCACACCCCTTCCTTCTCCCCTCCTGGCCCTGCAGGTCTCACTGTCTCTCACACTCAGTGTCTCTGGGCTCAGGAGTCCCAAACTTCCCTTGTTCCACCCTCCTACATGGGGCTCCGTGAGAGTAAGTTCTCAAAAATAAATAGGGCAAGGAGGAAGACATCCATACCTAAGACCAGGATCTCCATGGTATCACTGGGTTCCGACCACACCCAGGGGAAGTTCGTGTAATGCCCATAGCATCTGAACATCCACCGGTGACTGGCAGCCACACGGCCCACAGGGAACAGGGCCAGGGACAAGGGACAGCCCCTTGGAGAGTTCCTGTGAGTCCAGCATCCAGGAGAGCTTGTTTTCTCCTTCCTCAATCAAAATGAACCTGTGAAATCCCACCCTTGAGCTACACTGGATGGTCACGTTCTCTCCTGAGGTCACCACAGGGCTCGGCAGGGCTGAGAGAGTGGGTTTTCTGTGGGCTCCTAGGAGAGAAGGAGACACTGTCTTAAATGGGGCTCACGCGTCCCACATCATCCCCCAGGGCTGAGTTATTAGAACGGAGATGCCCTTGAGAGCTGACCCCCTTCCTGCAGGCAGAGCCTGGGGCTGGGACCCCTGAGTGTCCTCTTACCTGTCACCACCAGCTCCAGGGGCTCGCTGCGCTCTGACCAGCCTGCAGGGCTGAGATAGTGACAGTGGTATCTCCCTGCATGGTGCTCTCTCATGGATGGGATGAAGAAGTTGGTCTTGTTCCTGGGCTCTGGTGGGCTCTGTTGGTACCAGGTCATGGGGTTTCCTTCCTTGGTGAGATAGTAACCCTGGGTATCCAGGGTCCCCTGGCACCAGAGGGTCATGGGGCTCTCCCAGGTAATCACAGAGCCTGGCTCAGCCCAGAGGCTGGGTTTGGGGAGGGTCCCTGGAAGAAACCACAGGCTGGGGTCCACAGACCTCCCCCGCTCCTCATTCCCAGCTCAGGTCACAGACCCTCTTGATTTTCTCACCCTCAGTTCAGAAGCCCCTGAGATGAGAGTCCAGGTGCTGAGTGTGAGGTCAGGCATGGGAGGTTAGCAGAGACTCACCTGCAAGTGCTTGGGCTTTCTGGCCCAGACTCAGCCATGGAGAAGAGTTTCCTGTGGGGGATTTGGAACACAGAGGTGTGGCTGCTTCCCTTCCTGTTGGAGCACCAGTAGCCACTGGAGCCCTGAGGCTCTCTGGTGAACAAGGCTGCTGTGGGACCCTCCCCACCTCAGCCCAGTGCCCCTCCTGTCCCTCGTCTCTCCACCACTGACTGAGGCACAGAAGAACAGTGAGGATGGACACCATGATGCCTGCTCTGCGTGCTCCAGCTGTGGGACAGGTGACCACATGGCCCTCCATGACAGACAGATGCACGGATGTGGTTAAGTCAGAGCCTGCTGCCGCCTGCCTGGGTCCCCACAGCTGTGAACCCACAGGAAGTGGACAGCCCCTTGCTGGGCCTGTCTCTTATTCCCCCCCCAGTGCAGGGGCTCAGGAGGACCCAGGCCCTCTGCACACATCTCAGCCCAGACCTGAGGTGTCCCCTGATTGCCAGGGATCCTTTGTCTGAAAACCTGCCCGTGGAGGGTGGACCCAACATCATATCTATGTCAGCTCCCAACTTAGCTGGGTCTAAACTGAAAACACAGCCCTTATTTTCTCAGAGCCTCCACTCATGACATCGGCTTTCTTTTTCCCCACTGATGCAAAGACAAATATTTCCCAGCAGAAAGTCATCCTGATCTGGAGAGACCCATTTCCTGCGTTCAGTAAATAAAGTCAGTTTCATTAGGGGAGGCTCTGGGAAAATAAGGGGATGCAGACTAGCAGAAGATGAACATTTAGCTACTTGTTTCTCAATTAATTGATTTATTACCAAAGAGAGAGAAGTGGAAACATGAGAATAGGGACCATGACTAGAATGTGGTTGAGGGAATGGTTTCTATCTTATTCCCTGGCAGAGAACTAAGGGATAAGAATGAGAAAGCTGGCTGGGTGCAGTGGCTTACACCTGTAATCCCAGCACTTTGGGAGGCCGAGGCAGGAAGATCACAAGGTCAGGAGTTCAAGACCAGCCTGACCAACATGGTGAAACCCCTGTCTCTACTAAAAATACAAAAACTAGCTGGGTGTGCTGGCATGCGCCTGTAATCCCAGCTACTAGGGAGGCTGAGGTGGGAGAATCGCTTGAACCTGGGAGGTGGAGCTTGCAGTGAGCCGAGATCGCGCCACTGCACTCCAGCCTGGGCAACAAAGCCGGACTGTCTCAAAAAAAAAAAAAAAAAAAAAAAAAAAGAAAGAGAGAAAACCCAGCAGTGAGAGGTAGTTGTGAGAACACACTAAAGAGGAAAGATAATCCAGGGCTGGGAGTGGTGGCTCATGCCTGTAATTCCAGCACTTTGGGAGGCTGAGGCTGGCAGATCACAAGGTCAGGAGTTCGAGACCAGCCTGACCAACATGGTGAAACCCTGTGTCTACTAAAAATGCAAAAATTAGCTGGGTGTGGTGGTGGGTGCCTGTAATCCCAGCTACTCAGGAGGCTGAGGTGGGAGAATCGCTTGAACCCAGGAGACGGAGGTTGCAGTGAGCTGAGATTGCACCACTGCACTCCAGCATAGGCAACAAAGCCAGACTCTGCCAAAAACAAAAACAAAAACAAAAACAAAAACAAAAAACAAGAAAGCTCAGTGAGAGGTGGTTGTGAGAACACACTAAAGAGGAAAGATCATTCAGGGCTGGGAGTGGTGACTCACGCCTGTAATCCCAGCACTTTGGGGGGCCACAGGCGGGTGGATTACCTGAGGGCAGGAGTTCAAGACCAGTCTGGCCAACATGGTGAAACCTCGTCTCTACTAAAAATACAAAAACTAGCTGGGTGTGATGGCGGGTGCCTGTAATCCCAGCTACTTGAGAGGCTGAGTCAGGAGAATCTCTTGAACCCAGGAGGCAGAGGTTGCAGTGAGCTGGGATCGTGCCACTGTACTCTAGCCTGGGTAACAGAGCAAGGCTCTGTCTCAAAAAAATAAAAATTAGAAAGAAAAAAGGAGAAGGAGAAGAGGAAGGAGACAGAAAGGAGAGAAACATCCCTGAGGTGGAACATTACATGCAACATGGAGTAGGCAGGGAATCCGATAGAGCACTGAAACTCTCGCTGGGTACGGTGGCTAACATCTGTACTCCCAGCACTTTGGGTGGCCGAGGTGGATGGATCACCTGAGGTCAGGAGTTTAAGACCAGCCTGACCAACATGGTGAAACCCCATCTCTACTAAAAATACAAAAGGCTGGGTGTGGTGGCTCACGCCTGTAATCCCAACACTTTGGCAGTCTGATACAGGCGGATCACATGAGATCAGGAGTTTGAGACCAGCCTGGCCAAGATGGCAAAACCTCATCTCTACTAAAAATACAAACATTACCTGGCTGTGGTGGCAGTCGCCTGTAATCCCAGCTATGCAGGAGGCTGAGGCAGGAGAATCGCTTGAACCTGAGAGGTGGAGGTTGCAGTGAGTCAAGATCGTGCCATTGCACTCCAGCCTGGCCAATAGGAGCAAAACTCCATGTGAAAATAAAATAAAATAAAATAAAATATAATAAAATAAAATAATAAATCAAAAAAGGACTGGACATCTCCTGTGGGTTGTCAGTGAATGGAACTAAGCAAGCCACCGCTCTTTCCCTTTTGTCCCGCAAGTGTCTTTCTTGGCCTCCAGGAAGTGAGTTCCATCATGTCAGACCCTATGTTTGTTCCTGCTGGGTTCACTGAGGCTCCTCCCTTTCCACCTGTGGCTCCCCATGGGTTCCCAGTCCCCAGCCAGTGTTGTGAATCGAGCCAGGAAGACCAGCCCTATCACACCCCTCCTGATGGAATTCCCACAGTGTCATCCTGGAGAACAGGGGCTGGGGGCTGGGGTAGGATCAGAGACCTTTTCATGTGGGCCAGGCCCCTCCCTCCACAGGAGCTCTGACACGAAGCTCATCACCATTCATTTCACCCTGACGATATTCTTCCTGCCCAGACACCCCCGTTCTCCCTATGTCATCATGGGCACCTCAGTGAAATCCATGGTTGAGGGTCTCTGTCACTTACTCTGCCCTCTTCTTGGAAAATTTCCTTGGATCCTTCCAGAGCCCTTCCTGAGTGTGCTGCAGGGTCTCTGCCACATGACACACTCTCAGGAACCCTCATCCTCCCCTTAATCTACTGCGCCCACATAGCCAGGTGCAGGCTCCGTTTCTTCATCTTCCCTTCCCCACAGGCCCCGATGGAGAGTGGATTAGACTCGCTCCTGAGTAGGGACTCAGGTCACTCTGACCCCTTCCTCCCTGTGGACGAGGCCTCTGTCCCAGAGCTTTGGAGGCTGAAGGGCCTTGTGGATTCCCGCACTGGCCACAGTCTCCGATGCAGATGGGGAACTGGGGACCTGGGAGGGGTTGCCTAGCCCAAGGCCACATAGCTGGGCGGTGGCACAGCCTTCACTCACACAGGGACATTCCATCTTCCCAGGGACTTCACACTGGAGGCTAAGAGCCCCACTTTGCACACCACATTCAGGGGTAGATTCTGTGTGTGACTAACAAGTTCTCTTAGGGTTCCGAGGTAACAGGACAGCAAATGGATGAGTGAGAGTTTCCCTCACCCCACTGAAGTAGGACCATTCTCTGTGGAGGGTTGGTCCCCTGACTTCCTCTACTCTGTCATCTCCCTAGTGACTGATAGGGGTCCTGGGGTCTCTTCCCTGGAATCCCATGAGGGACAATTCCTTTCCTGAAGGGAAGGTATAGAGAGGACTAGCAGGTGCCTGGTGATGGAAAGTCCCCATAATCAAGAGACATTGCCTCCCCCCCCCGGCATGATAAATATCTGGGTTTCCAAATGGGAAATCTGTCTGTGATGAGAGCTCAGGAGGGGCTTCTGGAAGATGGAAAAGGGCTAGAGGCTGAGGCCACTGCTTATCTCCCCACACTGTATCTGGCTTCACCTCCTGTGTTTGTCCTGACCTCTTCCTTCACTCACCTGGATAAGTAGGACCCCAAAGTGGGCCTCCAGACAGGAAGCAGTGGAGAGTGTGGAGCTGCCCTGTCTACCACCCTACACCCTGACACCACTGTCATACTCAACCTCTCTTTTCCTCTTTGTGTTTCTCATTGCTTCATTTTGTCTGGAATCCCTAAGATTCCCATGTCTCCAGCAGGCTGTCCCTCAGACGTGGCTATATGATTTAGTGTTTCACAGGGCATGCAGCAGGCATGGGCTACCCCCAGTAACAGTGGTCATCTAGGGCTGATCACTCACAGGCAGAGCCATCGACAGAGAGCTGCAGCATCTAGAGGTCCCATCACCAGCCCCAAGACCCAGAGAGAAGTTGGCCTGAATGCCCCACTCTGTCTCTGCACCCCAGTGAGCCAGTGTCCAGGGGCCTTACCTTCCTCGTTAGAAGGCACAGGTCAAATGAGCTTCCAGAGCTGCAGAGCAAAGTCACATTCTCTCCATCATTACTTACTGCAGGGCACAGTTGAGCTGAGAAGGAAGGTCTCTTGTAGACGCCTGGGGAAAAAAATAGTCCTTGACTGTCGAGCACAAGCCTTACCCAGCCTATCCTCAGGGCATGAAAAAGGCATTCTCTCCACCTGTTCTGGGGAGCACACTCTGTTACCCACTCGTGCCTCTCTCCATCTCAGTTCTAGCTCTACAAGCTGGCTCATCATGTGTGTGTTTTCCTGTCTGTCTTTGCTCAGCTTTTCCTTGAATCTCTTGCTTTTTGCCGGTGCGTGTGTGGCTTTCTGCCCTTAGAACCATATGAGATTTAGGGTTCTCCTGGCACATAGAACTGTTTACTTTGAGGACCCTCAGAAAACATAGCCCTGGGCTAAGGCTCCCTGTCCTGGAACTAGAAGGTTATGGGTGTCACCATTTCCCAACAGCATGTCTGAAAGTGCCAGAATCTTCAAAGAGTCTGCAACATGTTTGTAGGATCTTTATAGGGTCTGATATTGCAGGGACCAACCAAAGTGCCCTCACACCCCAAGACGCTGGAAGTGACCCCTTGCTGAAAGTGGTTGGAAGTTTCACATAGAAGTTTGAGTTAAGCCACATTGCTGAGCAATGCCTCAGCATCCCAGTCTTCATCCAGACCTTCCAGGAGCCTGGCTGGAGGGGGTGTCTCTGGTGTGTCACTGAGCCTTATAGCAGAGGAAGGGGGCTATGGTGGAAACTACCTCCAAGATACCACTCAGTCCTAAGCTGGGGAACAAGCTGAGCTTGGATTCTGGTAGTGAATGAACCGGGAAACATTTATTTGAAGGGTTCTAAGAGTAGCATCGTGTGGGTGCGTTAATTGTATGTGAAGGGGAAGATCCTGAGAAAACAAGAGCTGCTCCACTCTGTGCCTGGGTTTACCAGAGGGACCGATGAGGTCCTCACAAGACCCAGGAATCCCACCGGGGGAAGGAGGCTTAGGGAGATGTGTTTAAGACTGTTAAGTGAGTCACAGACAGAAGCAGATCAAGCCATCCCACCACCTAGGTTTGTGGTTTTGTTTCTCCTAAACTTCCTTTCTGTAAGTAGCAGAACCTTCTCATCACCATCCTTCAAAACCTCTGCATTGTTTGAGCTCCTTGTATTTTCTGGAGATTAATCTCTTGCTTGCAAATATTCTTTCCCATTCTGTAGGTGGTCTCTTCACTCTGCTGTTTGTTTCCTTGATTGTGCAGAAGGTTTGCAGTTTGCTATGATCTCATTTGCCTATTTTTGCTTTTGCTGCCTGAGCTTTTGAGGGTTTTTTTTTTTTGTTTTTTTTTTTGAGACGGAGTCTCGCTCTGTCACCCAGGCTGGAGTTCAGTGGCATGATCTCAGCTCATTGCAACCTCCGCCTCCCGGGTTCAAGTGATTCTCCTGCCTCAGCCTCCCTAGTAGCTAGGACTACAGGCGAGTGCCACCACACCCGGCTAATTTTTGTATTTTTAGTAGAGGCAGGGTTTCACCACGTTTGGCCAGGCTGGTCTCAAACTCCTGACTTCAAGTGATCCACCCACCTTGGCCTCCCAAAGTGCTGGGATTACAGGCGTGAGCCACTGCGCCCGGCGTTGTATTGGATTTTTAATTCAGCCCTATTTTCTCCGACATTTGATATTGGCATTTTTGTCTTTTTTGGATATGCTAGGATCATGGTGTCATAATTTAATTTTAATTTTTATTTTTATTTTAAGTTCCGGGGTACATGTGCAGAATGTGTGGGCTTATTGCATAGGTCAATGTGCGCCATGGTGGTTTCCTGCACCTGTCAACCCATCACCTAGGTATTAAGCCCAGCATACATTAGCTATTTTTCCTAATGCTCTCCCTACCCCTACCCCACCCCCCCCCCGACAGGCCCCAGTGTGTGTTGTTCCCCTCCCTGTGTTCACGCATTCTCATTGTTCAGCACCCACTTGTAAGTGAGAACATGCAGCGTTTGATTTCCTGTTCCTGTGTTAGTTTCCTGAGGATAATGGTTTCCAGCTCCATCCATGTCCCTGCAAAGGACATGATCTTGTTTCTTTTTATGGCTTCATAGTATTCCGTGGTGTATATGTCTCACATTTTCTTTATCCAGTCTATCATTGATGGGCATTTGGGTTGATTCTATGTCTTTGCTATTGTGAATAGTGCTGCGATGAACACATGTGTGCATGTATCTTTGCAATAGAATGATTTATATTCCTTTGGGTATACGCGCAGTAATGGGACTGCTTTTACCTGTGCCAAAATACTGAAGTAGAAATGATTATTCACTCTAAAATGGAAGGTAATAAGATGTATACGTGAGCTATCAGATGCCTGGTGCTTATGAGTGAAGACAAGTCTGTCCAACGCTTCCCAACCCTGCATTCAGGGATGTCTCGTTGGCATCTTGATTATGGCCATGAAAAAAGAATTTACGTCAAGGAAATTGGTAAATGCCACTAATCATAGCATTTCAAAAAATGTCTTTTTCAGAATTAGCATACCATTGGGTCGTGACTTCAAATGCCAGTGTGTTGATTCCAGGTGGTGATATTTCAGGAGAAACTACACAGATAGCATCTGATAAGGAGGGAAGAGCTCATAGGGTCCACACAGGAGGTGAGGGCATCACGGTGCATTTATCTTTTCCTGGTCGGACTCTGATCTTCTCCCGTTGAATTAGTTCCTAAACCAGGTGCGGAACTCTGAACTGAAGACATGAAGACCCAGTAAAGTACACCAGGAAGTGTGGCAATGAGAAATGAAGAGGACTGTGTGACACGCCATGGACCAGAGCATGCAGGTGTGCAGAGGTGTGGACCCAACGCTGCCATGTGGGATGGAGCCTCATGTCTAAGTGTGGGAAAAGAGGCAGATCCAACCAAGGAAAGTCAACATTAATGGAGAGGAAAGGTATCACATTTTAATGGTTCTCCATGGATCACCCCAGAAAATGTCCCTGCACTCGGACATTGATTCCTTCCTCTGGAAATGACCAGCAGACAGTCCAGATAGCATCGGCCCTAGATTTTCTTCCAGAACCTCCTGGGATCATCAGATCTGTTCCTGAGGCTTCACGACTCTATAAAGTACATTATCCTCTCTGCTGTTCACCTCCCGGCTGCATCTTGGGAAGCTTCTCTGGCTGTGCCAAGCCTCAAATGACAGAATCCCGAGGACCACCAGGATCAAGCCAGCCACGCCCATGTGGATGAGATTCTCCACTGCGTAATCCTGAAGGTGTGAGGCTGGGGATGGTGGACAAAGAGGTCACAGAGGTCAGGGTGGATCAGATTGTCCACCCAGGGCACCCACCTCCCCTTCACAGGACCCAACCCTCAGTGCCAGCCCCATCACTGAGAGTATCTCCTCACATACCAGTCTCAGAGTCAGACTTGTTTTGTGATGGGCTGAGGGTATCAGCTGCTCCAGAGAATCAAAACAGAGAAAAAGAGACCTGAGCCCAGCCTCTCACCTGGGCTCTGCAATTTTTTTTTTATTACTTAATGTCTCATGATGTGACTTTTACAGAATTTCTAAAAAAAAAAAAAAAAAACCTCTTCCTCCGCTAGCAGGATTCCCTCTAGTCTCCTCATTGAACGATTTCAGTTTTCCTGTGTTCTATGGATTTAAACATTGCTCCTGAGTCATCTGGGAGAGAGTTTTCCTGCATCCTGAGAGCTCAGGATCTGCAAGGAAAGTGGTCCCCAGTACAGAGGTCACTAAGGCCTGTGTGCTCTCTGTGCAGCCTGGGACACAGGAGAACATGAGCCAACTCCCCCGGAGATGAGAGTTTCACGGATCCACCAGCTGAGGACCCAGGCTCCGTGGATGAGGGTTAGTCATCAGGGGAGCCTCAATGTCAGAAGCACAAAGGGGTGAAATTCTGGGGCTGCCTCCCCTTCATGCCCTCAGCCACTTCACCTGGAGTTTCATTGTCCATTTAATCTCTAGGTAGCTAATTATTCGTATAGGCAGCAACAGGTAGAATGTGATACACACACAGAAAAACACAAACACAAATATATATCTGTTTTATATATATAGTGGGCCTTAAAAACTATCTCTGCCTTCTTGAAGTGTGGGTTCACCTGGAGACAAACAGCAAACATATAGAAACACAGCAGTGGAAATTTACTAGTCGTAGCAATGGTTTTAGATATATTGGTAGAGACCTATATTTATGTGTGAATATATATTATTTGTATAGATATACGGATAACTAGGTTTCAATGTCACGTAAGATGTTGGTGTGACCACACACGCGCACACACACACACACACGTATATGCAGAGAGTGGAAGAGAGAGAGAAGGAATTCAGCCGCATGGTGTAGGTTGGTTAATTACTTGACATAAATGAGAAGCAGGCAGGACTGGGCTGAGCTGTGTCGTCAGTGAAGGTCACACTTGGAGGTGACATTGAAGCTGATTCCTCAATAGGAAAAAGGGCCAGGAAGGAGGCGTGTGGAGACCCAGACAGGGAGCAACAGAGGCTCCAGAAAGAGCAGGTCCCAGAAAGGTCTCAGCCTGTTCTTCAGAAAGGAATGGCCGCTTGTCTACAGGGTGGAGGAGGAGGCAGAGGAGGAGGGGAGATGAGCTTCGGGGCCTTGGTGGATTGAGAATAGGCCAGGATGAACCGGCCAGGAAAGAGCGGCCCCAATATCTCTCTCTCTGTCTCTCTGTCTCTGTCTCTGCCTCTCTCTCCCTCCCTCTGAGGTCTGGAAAGTGCTGTAGGGTTTCAAGGAGTGGTACCAGTCATTTGACTTTTTCTGAAAAGATAAGCCCTACCCCCTCCATAGCAAATGTCCAGAACGAAGGAAGTCCACATTTCTACCTGAAGTTTACAAAACCTCAGGGAGCACGTGAGATCAGGGCTATTACGAAACCGGGTGAGAATAAAAATAGGTGATGCTGCAAATCTACTTTCACCAGCTTGGACAAAAAGGCCAATATGAGATTTTAAAAACCCAAATAAAAAATGTCAACGGCGCAGAAGAGGAGCGGTGCACATTCCCTGAGCTGCTGCGGGAGCACGTGCAAGTCCCTGTGAGGCTCAGGTGTGCGCTGAGTGCTGGGGAGGCTGCAGGGGAAAGCAGGAAGTGGGGCGGGGTGGGGGGGGGTCGGGGGTGGATGCAGGTGGCACCGGCAGCCTGGATGCTTCTCTCTCCAGGAGGGCGTCTGTTGGGGACTGGGACACAGAGGCTCTGATTCTGAGGTGGAGACACCAGGATGGGAGCAGGTGGGGCCTCCGTCTTCCACCCTCAGTCTAATCTCAACTCCTTTGAGGTTCACCCCCCGTCTCCTCCCAGCCCTCCCTGCACTTTACTCTACTGAGACTTCAGGGGTGGGAGCCAGGGGTGGGAGGTCCCTGTCTATTTCCATCTTCCCATGGGCTGGACCCTCCCCTGCGGACCCTCTCCCTTCACTCCCCTCTTTCCTTAGTGTCCAGAGCTCTGCTGGGGGCAGGGCCTGAGCTGAGCCTTTGAGCTCAGAGAGGACAGGGTCAGCGCCCTCACCTGAGACCACGAGCTCCACGGGGCCACTGGGGTGAGACAGCAGGTAGGGGTCGGAGCTGAGTGAGCCGTAGCACCTGTAGGTCCCCGTGTGGGCTGAGGTCACAGGACTCATGGGGAATTC